>NC_000010.11:10464545-10616060 GCF_000001405.40 Homo sapiens
AACAAAGGCCAATAGATCTTTGAAAATTTTTCCTTCTGGCTTAAAATAAGAAAGGATAAGCACAACCTCTCAGACTCTGAGTGTTAACAAGATTCTGAGCTAGCAACACCATTAAATGTGAAGAACTGCCATCATCTTTTGCAGAACGCAATGTAAAATTATGGGTTTCACTGTAGGACTCTGTCATTTGAACTAGTAATCAGTCCATAACACTATAGATTGCTGTAGTTAAAATGATGCTTTCCCCCATTAACAAAACATTGAATAACACTGAAATTATGTTAGTTAGATTTTACCCTATTTTTTCAATAGAGAGTCAGGAATAGCCCCAAATCCTTTTACCTAAGGATACGTAATATCAGTTTGTCTTTTCTTCTGCCCTCACTGAAGTGCTATGACATTACAGGCTCAAGAGAAAAATTTCTTAACAATAGTTCTGCATTTGCCATGAGCTCTTGCGGCATTTGGGAAGGATTTTCACCTTCTACTTGCACAGGTGTTGAAATAGAAAATACCTTCTGACGAGAATACACATTGTTATTTTACACACAGACATATGGACAAAAATATATATAATGCCAGAATAAACATTAAAGGCAACATGAAAGTATACGGATTGCTCCCTGAAAATACGACATTTGACAGTTGCTCAATTTATTATAAATGTTCACTGAGGATCAACTATGTGACAGGAAGTATATCAGAATCTTCAGGAAACAAGAAAAACGAAAAAGCCATGTCTTGGTCATCAGGGGAATTACAATGTAGTAAGAAATGCAGCAGGTAGACTAGAAAATGTAATTTGATTAATTAGTCTATGATGACCTTAGCATTGTATCAGGCTATTGGGATCAAGAAAAGTTGTAACTTTATTTCTGAGTGTCTGGAGCTGACATAATGTTTGCTTCTCTCATTTGCTTCAATTCTTCACCTATAGCCACACATGTTTTCTATTTCCTGTGTTTTTTGAAAAAATTCTTATGGATGTAAGTAGTCTTAACAGCTGTAATTTTTGTGTGTTTTTACTGTAAAATAAAAATGGGCAGGAAGCGCTGAATGGGGTGTCAGGAGGTATCAAGTCTCATTTCTCATCACCCACTGCCTTTGTCATTCATAATCTACTTAGTCCTCTATCCTCCTCATCTTTACAAAGAGGAAATGACCCCATCCAACACTATAATTCTTTTATTCCATCCTAGTGGAAGATGGGTAACTTGTAAGGAAAAGAGATGGTTATGGCGGGCTTGTCCACCTGTGGTTTAAACAAAATACAAGACAATTACCAGCTAACAAGCTCTAAGTCTTAACCTCTGTGTTCGTGTTGAATTGATGTGTGGTTATACCTGCCCCATGATTTTATACCTTCTGTTTTCTTCATTATCATGTTAATGCCCCCAAGACTGTAGAGGAAAATTGCAACAGAATAGTGAGTATATGTTGAGAATGCTGTTCTAGCATCTGTTCAAATGCTTCTTACATGTGATCCAAGAAACAAGAATGTCTTTCTCCTGAAACAACGTTGCATAATCTGATATTTCTATGTACCTTTTAAAGTACCGCTTGAGCAATCTGATGAGCTTTCATTGATTTATACACCTGTGAAGCCACAACAATCAAGCTGCAGAGAGTTTCCATTCGTACAAAAGTTTCTTGTGTCACTTTGACTCTTGCCTCCACACCTGGCCTTCAGACAGGCCTTCAGATTTGTATTCTGTCACTATAGATTAATTTACATTTTATAAAATGTCATATAAATGGAATTATGCAGTATGGATTTTGTGTCTGGCTTTTTCATTTTGCGTACTGACTTTCAGATTCATACATACTGTTGCATACATCAGTAGATTTTTTATTGCTGAGTAGTATTTCACTATATAAATAAGCAATAGTTTGTTCATCTGTTCACCTGTGGATGAACATTTGGGTACTTTCCATTTGGGAACTGTTATAAGTAAAGCTGTATGAATATTCATGTGCAAGCCTTAATGTAGGCATAGGTGTTTCTCTCAGGTAAACAGCTAGAATTGAAAAGGCTGGATCATATGGTAGAGATATGTTGAAATGTATAAGAAAAAACCCAGCAGTTTTCCAAAGTGGCTGTAACATTTGATACTTTCTCCCGCAATGTTGGAGAATTCCAGTTGCTGGGTATCTTTGCCAACATTTTGTGTATTGCCAGTCTTTTCAGTGTTAGCCATTCCAACGGGTATGTAGTATTAACTCGCTGTGGTTTTAATAAACCTTCCCTGAAATTGAATAATGTGGGGCATCTTTTCATGAACACATTGGCTTATGGTAAAGTATCTGTTCTAATATTTTGTCCAATTTTTATTGGGCTCCATGTGTCATCTTAATATTGAGTTGTAGGAGTTATTTTTTCTCCTGGATAGACATCTCTTTTCAGATGAGTGTATGGAATACATTTCCTCCCAGTATGTGACTTTCCTATTATTTTTAATGGTGTGTTTTCAAAGCACAATATACTTTCATTTGAATTAATCCAAATTACCAGTATACCACCAGTATACCAACATACCACAATATACCAATATACCACTTATAATATACTAGCATAAAAATTTATTTCACGGTTCATACTTTTTTGTGTGGACAAAGTGGAAATGCTAAGATTTTTCTCCTAAGTGCTTCTCTATAAATTTTATAATTTCAGTGTTCACACACAGTTATATCATGCATTTTGAGCTAATGTTTATGTTTAGTATGAAATAAAAACCAAGGGTCAATTTTTTTGTCATATGGAGAGCCAGTTGCTTCAGCACCATTACTAAAAAGACTATTCTTTACCCCCACTTAATTACCTTAGTTTATTTGTCAAAAATCACTTGACAGTAGGTGTGTTTGTCATTTTCTGGGATCTGTACCATGGATTTATACATTTATTCTTTCACTAGTTCCACATTGTATTGATTAGCTTTATAGTAAGTCTTGGAAAAAGATACTGTATATTCTCCAACTTTCTCTTTTTAAAAATTGCTTTGGCTCTTCTAAGTTCTCATTTTGATATAAATTTTAGAATTTGCTCATAAATATTTACCCCAGTAAAACTTCTGGTGAAATTTTTATTAGAATTGCATCGAATATAAATTCAACTTGTAAAATTGACATGTTAACTCTATTGAGTCCTCCATCCATAAACAATTTTTCTGTTGTTCCTCATTTATGTAGTTGTTCTTTAATTTCTTTAAGCAATGGATTGTAGTTTTTGGTACATAGGTATTTCACTATTGTTGTGAAATTTTTCCTAAATATTCAAGGGGACTTCAAGAAGGTCATGGAAAAACGGAATTGAAAGTTAAAAATAAAAAATGTAAACTTTATTTCTCAACATAAGCACCATCAAGGTCAAGAGACTTTTATAAGAAATGATACCAGCCACTTAGTTTATCTCTAAAGAACTGTGAATCCTGAGAATTTAACTGATGACAAGGCAACATGTTTTACACTATTAACTGAAGAAAAAATGGTGTCCTTTAAATAATTTTTAGGATTAGAAAACAAAAAGGCAGAAAGAGACAAATCAGGAATGCAAGGCAGATGCCTAATGACTTTCCACTGAAACTCTTGCAAAATTGTCCTTGTTTGAGAGGAATGAGCAGGAGCATTGTTTTGGTGAAGGACTCTATGATAAAGCTTTGGCGTTCTCTAAACACTCTTATACAATAAACAGATACTATCTTTCTTTGGCCCTCCACAAAGTCAACAAGCAAAATGGCTTGAGCATCCCCATAAAACTGTTGCCATGACCTTTGCTCTTGAGTGGTCTGCTTTTGCTGTAATTGGACCACTTTCACCTCCTGGTAGCCGTTGCTTTGGTTGTACTTTGTCTTCACGATCATACTGGTAAAGCCATGTTCCATCTCCTGTTACAATTCCTCAAAGAAATGCTTCAGAATCTTCATCCTACTTGTTTAAAAATTCTATTGAAAGCACTGCTGTTGATTGCTGTTGATCTGGATACAATGGTTTTGGCACCCATTGAGTGGAAAGTTTGCTCAACTTTAATTTCTTAGTCAGAATTGTGTAAGGTGAACCATTCGAGATGTCTATGGTGTTGGTTATTGCTCCTGCTGTGAATTGTTGGGCCTCTTCAACTAGGGCGTGAACAAGAAAAATGTTTTCTTCACAATTTGATGTGGACCATCTGCTGCTGTGGGTTTCATCCTCAACACTGTTCTCATCCCTCCTTTAAACAAGTTATCCATTTGTAAATTGTGAGTTTATGTGGGTAACTATCCCCATAAACTTTACATAAAGCATCAGTGATCTCATTCTTCCACCCAAGCTTCATTCTAAATTTGATGTTTGTTCTTTCTTCAGTTTTCATGGAATTCATGTTGCTCTAGTAGGGGCTCTTTTCAAACTCATCTTGTATCCTTTGTATGCCTCAAACTAGATCCTCTTCAGACGTTTTATAAAAAGTTAGTATGAACTTATTACAGTGCAAAAAAAATGGAAATCCATGCATAATGTTTTCATAATATGCATTTTTCATGAACACTTTGAAGACCCCTTGCATAACGTTTTAGTGTCTTAATAAGTGAAATTTTTTTCCAAGTGCTTGTGGCTATAATATACAAATATTATTGATGTTTGTTTACTGACCTCTTATACTGCTATCTTAACAAATTTCCATGTTATCGTGCATATTTTAAAATTCTTATTAGGATTTTCTAAATACACCATCAACTTTTTGATCAAAATGCTTCATTCTTTCCAACTGTATGTCTTTTATCCTTTTTCTTAGCTGTCTGAAATATCTAGGACTTCAAGTGAAATGTTAAGTAGAGATAATGAAAGTGAACATCCTTGACATGTTCCCAGTCTTAAGGGAAACACATTTAGTCTCTCACTGTAGAGAATGAGGTATTTTTATGCAGAGACTTCACCACATAAAGGAGGTGAAGTCCCCTTCTATGCCTGGTTTGCTGAGAGTTTTCGTAATGAAAGAGCATTGTCCTTCTATGAACTGAGGATCTGATTTGCTAATACTTTTATTAAGAATTTGGTGTCTTTTTTCATGAAAGATACCAGTTGTCACCTTGCCTTCTTGTAATGTCTTTGGTGTGGCATTGGAGTAATACTAGTGTCATAAAATTGGTTGGGAAGTATTCCTTCCTTCTCTGTTTTATGCAATATTTTGTGTAGAATTGGTAATTTTTTTTCTTCCTTAAGTGTTTGATGGAATTTACCAGTAAGCTATCTGTGCCTGGCCTTTTCCTTGTGGGGAGACTTTTAATTAAATACTCAATTTTATTAGTAGATACAGGGTTAATTAAATTTTTCATTTTTCCTTATACTAGTTTTGGTCATTTATGTTATTCAGAGAACTTGTATAATTCATCTGAGTAATCCCAAGTACAGGTTGAGCATCCCTAATCTGAAAATCTGAAATCCAAAATGCTCTGAAATTCAAAACTTCTTGAGCACCCAACATGATGCTCAAAGAAAATGCTCATTGCAGAATTTTGGATTTCAGATTTTAAGATTAGGGATTCTGAACTAGTACATAGGAATAATGCAAACATTGTATTCCAAAATCTTTTAGAAATCAAAAATCCCAAACCCTTCTGGTCTCAAGCATTTTAGATAAGGGATACTCAACCTTCATGGCCATAAAATATTCATATTCTCTTATCCCCTGATTATTACAGGATCTCTAGTAGTATCTCTACCGTCATCCTTAGCATTAATAGTTTGTGTCTTCTACCCCTTTTTTTTAAAATGAGTTTATTAGTTTTACACTTCTGCCATAACAAATTGCCAAAATCTTAGTGGCTTAAACTATACAAGTTTCCTCTTTTTGAGTTCTGTAGATCAGAAGTCTGATACAGATCTCACTAGACAAAAATCAAAGTGTCAGCAGGCCTGTAGTTCTTTCAGAAGACACTAGAGAAGGATCCATTTTCTTAGGGTTGTAGAACTCAGATCCCTGTTTCTTGGCTGCTTATCAGCTGAGGGTCATTCTCACCTTCTGGAAGTCACACATATCCCATGACCTGTAGACTTCCTCCTCAATCTTCAAAGGCAGGAATACTGAGTCAAATACTTCTTACACTTCAAAGTTCCCTTCTTCATTCTTCTATCTCCTACCTTTAATTCAACTGCGAAAGGTTCTCCACTTTTAAGGCCCCATGTGATGATACTGGACCCGCCCAAATACTCCAGAATAATCTCCCTATCTCAAAGTCCATGCCACTAATCACATCTGCAAACTTTCTTTTGCCATCTAGTATTGCATATTTAAAGATTTCAGGGATTAAAGCATGGACAGCTTTGGGAATCCATTCTTCTACCTTCTGTGGTAGAAACCTATATAATTAATTTAGTACTTTTCTCTTTTTCTAATATGTACCTTTAAAGTTATAAATTTCCACCCAACCACCACTTTAGCTTTATCTCTAAATTTTATTTCATTTTAGTGTCTAATTTCTTATGAAATTGCTTTTTTTCATTGATTTTTGAGAAGAGTATTATTTAATTCCCAGATACTTAGGGCCATTCTAGATGTTTCATTATTGCTGATTTTTAATTTAATCGCATTTATCAGAGAATATGCCCAATAATCAATATATATTTTGATTTATGTCCCAACATATGGCTTATCTTGATGAAAACTCCAGATGTACATAAAAAGAATGAGTATTCCACAGTTATCTGATGTAGTATTCTATTTCCATTTAGGTTGGTACTGTCCTTATGATCCATTTTCCTACTGTTTGTTTTGTTTTGTTTTGTTTTGAGGGCAGATCATATCTGTCACTGAGAGTGGTATAAAATCTTTATTATTAAATATTTGTCTATTTCTCCCCCTAAGTTCTCTCAGATTTTGTTCCATGTATTTTGAAGCTCTGTTATTAGGTGTGTATACATTTATAATTGTTACATTATACTGCTGTGTTGACCATTTTTTTATTATAAAGTATCCCTCTTTTCCTGAGTAGAATATTGTAGATTACAATATTCATTTTAAACTTAACCCAATGTACTCAGAGTTAATGCCATTAACATTCCAAAAGTATATTTCCATTTACTTTCTGGCTTTTGAGCTATATATATAATAATATTTGTCATTTGTATCTACAATATAAACACAAATAAGTTGTCTTTGCTTTAAACAATCATTTCTCTTTTAAAGAATTTAAGAGAAAAAAATATGTTGATATAGCCTGTATATAAAAGATGTTTATGTACATCTTTTTCATTACTTGGAATGCTATCCTCCTGGTAATAAATTTTCTCACTTTATATTTATCTAAATATGTTTTGATTTCATCTTCCTTTTTTGGATAGCTTCACTAAGCATAGAATTAATTATTGACCAATTGTTTAAATGTGTAGCCATTTGCTTTGTCATTCCAATATTATCCAGGCTCCATAATTTCTTAGGAGAGTTAGTAGTCAATCAAAGCCTTCTTCTCCTGTAATTAATGTGTGTGTTTTCTCTAGCTGAATTCAAGATTTTTTTTTCTTTGGCTTTCAGCAGTTTAATTACAAGGTGCTTACGAATAGTTTTCTTTGTTTTAGTTCTGTTTGACATTCATTAAGTTTTCTGAATCTGAATTAAATGTTCTATGCCAAATTTGGGGGAAATTCTGTAACTATTTTTTTCAAAATATTTTCATGCTTGTTTCTTGGGAATTGCGGTTGCATATTGGATAGCCTGAGTGATACTCTTCCACAAGCCTCTCAGGCTCTGTTATTTTTCTATCAATGTGTATCCTCTTTATTCTTCAAATTGGGTAATTTGTATTGATTTATCTTCAAGTTTACTCATACTTTACTCTGCCATCTCCAATCTGCTGAGTTTCTCTGGTAAATTATTAAAATTTATCAAATTTTTTAGTTCTCAAATTTATAATTTTTCTATAAATTTAATTCTCTGGAGGTTCTCTTTCTACTGATTACATATTACTTTTTAAAATTATTTGAACATACTTAAAATTGCTGCTGTTAAGGTTTTGTCTGCTAAATCCAACATCTGTGACCATTGTGAGTCAGTTTCTATTTATTGTTTCCTCCTGTTTATGGCCCATACTTTCCTGTTTCTCTGCATGTCTAGTAATTTTGAGTTGTAAACTAGACATTGAAGGTAATCCACTGTCATGACAATGAATTCTGTAATCGTCTGAGAATTCTTGCTCTGTTATTACAGTATTTAATTAATTTGCCTGGACATTAATGCAATGTTTGTCTTCTCGTTGGTGTGCAGCTACTAATATATCTGTTCTGTTCATATAGCTCACAAATGCTGCTTTTATTAGTCTGGCCTCCTGGAGGTTTCCCCTAGGCCCATGTAATTTGGCAACTTAGAATTTAGGCAAAGAGTTTACTCCTATTTTGGGGTTCTCCCTTTCTATGGGTTCTTCTATGAATTTTCTTCTATATCCAGATGCTATGGACATATTTGCAGGATCTCATTTCTGACACTGCGAACTCCTGAAGCTTCAGCTTTGTGCTGCCTGATGTTATGAGTACTGTTGTGGATTGAATTGTGCCTCCCCTCAAAAAATACGTTGAAGTCATAATTTCCATTGTCTAACAATGTGAGCTTATTTGAAAATAAGGTCATTGCTGATGCAGTTAGTTAAGATGAAATCATACAGGAGTAAGCTGGGCCCCTAATCCAATCAGACTGGTGTTTTAAAGATGATAGCCATGTGAAGACAGAGACAGGGAGATGCATTGTGAAAGTGAAGGCAGAGACCAGAGTTACATGCCACTGCAAGCCAAGGAAAGACAAAGATTTCCAGGAAACCACCAATATCTAGGAAAAGGTAAGAGTTTCTTTACAGGCTTCAGAAAGAATGTGCCCTGCTAACCTGCTTATTTTGAACTTCTGGCCTGTAGAACTGCGATGTGATATATTTGTTGTTTTAAGCCACCCAATTTGTGGTACTTTTTTCAACAGCCCTAGGAAACTAATACAAGTACTATTGTTACATATACCCTTAGCAAGTTTTTTGTAAAGACAGTCACGCCTTTTAAATAGTCTGGGATTTAAGAATGTAAAATTAAATCCTGATGAGAATGATACATGCTTAATGTGTTCTGGGGATGTTTGGTTGTTCTTGCTATTTTCGTTGAGTCATTTGTTTCATGTAATGGTTATGCCTATGGTTAACCATTATATTTACTATGCAGATCAAAGGAAATAATTATTCAGTCATTGAAAGAAAAAGTGAGGCTTAATTGTACTAAATTATTGGTCCAGAGTCACACACTAAGCTCTTGGAAGAACTGGGAAAAAGAGAATCATGTCATTTTCCACTTCTAGTTTGTCCTCTAAACTATATCTGAGCTATTGACTATTAAATATCTGATATTTAACACTGATTCTTAACAGTGAAAAAGTTCAACATCTAAATGGGAAGGGTTTGAATTCAGACAAACCCGGGATTATATTTCAGAAACAAACTACTACTTGTGTCCTCTTCTTATTTTTATAACAGTGCTATTTCCTATAGGTGGTCAAGGAAGCCCTCCCTCAGAAAGGTAACAATTAAATTCTAGAGTAATGTGAGGAAAGAAGTCCTTGGATATTCAGGGAAATAGTATCCAAGGGCAAAAGGAAACAACATATAAAATAGTACCATAGGCCAGGAGCAGTGGCTCATGCTTGTAATCCCAGTTCTTAAGGAGGCAGAGGCAGGATGACAGCTTGAGCCCAGGAGTTCAAGACCTGACTGGGCAATATAGTGAGATCCCATTCTCCACAAAAAGGGGGAAAAAAGACAAAATAATACCATAACAAAAACAAGCTTAACAGAGTAAGTTGGCATGGTGGGAGCAGAGTAACAATGTGAATGGTAGAAAAAGAGAAGTCACCCAATCTGAGCAGAAGTTGACAAACTGTAGAAAGCCAAAAAGTTAAACATAGTAGGCTTTGCAGACCATAATGTCTATGGATCAACAATTCTGTGTTTTAGTGTGAATGAAAGCAGCAATACACAATCTATAAATGAGTAAATGTGACAGTTTTGCAATAAAACTTATTTATGCACACTGAAATTTGAATTCAATATAATTTTTGTGTGACAACCATGTAAAATTGGAAAAATGATTCCTAACCTGCAGGCCATACAGAAAAGGTCATTAGTCACCCCCTGCTGTGGGGGTTATTAGTACAAAGGATAAAATTCTCTGCAGGAGAGGAAGTCACCAGTAAGGGTTTGAACTGAAGACTTTTTGTTTTTAAAGGATTGCTGTGACTGTTCTACGGAAAGTAGACTGTACTCTCTCTACATGTGGCAGCAAGGGGAACAGTCAGGTGAGTCTTATCAGATGTGATGAGGTCAGGACTAAGACATTAGTTGTGGAAATAATGGGAAGCGGACAGACTTAGGGCATACTTTAGTAGTAGATCTGAAGGGTTCACTGGTGAATTAGGAATGATGTTCTTAACACAGAGGTCAATAGGATAATGCTTTCTTTGGAAAAGATGGAGAGCAGGTAGACTGAGAAGATGCCAAGTTCAGAATGTCCAAAGGAGTATTCCAAGGAACATTTCAGGAATTGTTTTTCTTGGAAAAGATTCGTATAAGCCATATGTGGAACAATTCCCTACTTTTATATTTCTAGAGCACTTTTTTTGTGTACACATTTGATGATGTCCAGGTACATTACCCTGTACGTCTCTGATTCTGGGAGGGCAGTTATTACATCCTCGCTCAAAATGAAGCAGATAGATGGAAAGAGATGACAGAATTTTCTCAGTAGCATTTCAGTGGGTTCCTGATGGTCTAGTCTTACATCCCATGTCCCCTGAAACTTTGACCCAGGACCCTTTCTAACACACCAATCTGCCCATGTCTCACTCATATGGAAGGAGATATGTAAAACTGGTGAAGGTACTGACTTACCAACATCGCAATTATTGGCAGAATTGTTTGAGCTCCTGTGCTTGGCCACTCAAAAAAAAAAAAAAAGTAATTTTCTACTTCCAGATCAAGTTTTCAGGGTAGCATCATTATTTGGGAAGACAGGGATATTCAATTACATAATTTGAGGGCCTCTTTCTGGAACACAAATATAATCAATCCATCAGTAGAAGGATGAAGAACATGTCATGCAGTAATTAAAATATTTTCCCCCAATTGTGCTCAATATACGTTGTCCTCATAGGTAATTTGAGGCTAAGAAGTGCTTCTAGTTACTTGTTAACACTTTGCTCAGGCCTTCTCTGTATTTTTTTATGCATAAAAGACTTAACTTTTAAATAATGAATGCTTAAACTCTCAATTGTGAGCAATTAAGATCATGGAGTGCATTTTTCTTTGAGTGGGCAGACATTTTCTTCCTTTTATTATTTTCTGTACTCCACTTTTAAGCTGTTTAGCTCTTTCTTTTGTAATGGTTGTTGACAATACCTTTTCATTTTGTATACCATCACTTCTGAGTCACTTGGGCACCTGGTTCTGCTAAAGTTAACTGGAGACTGCTGCTTTCCACCACAGAGACTGCTGGGTTTTTGTTCTCTTGAATACACATTCCAAGGCAAAGCGTTGGTTAGCATGGCTTAGTTAGGAGTAATTGACAGATATTCTGGTAAATTTCCTCAAACTCAAGAACATTCTGGGCAAATACCATATAATTTCAACGTGTTTCAGTGTAATGCCATTTGTGTTTACAAGGAAAGATTATTTATCATTTTATATCTACTTTCTGATTTAACTTTAGTCATACAGCTCTGCCCCTCTGTGTCATCCCAAGTAGGTTCAGTCACACGGTGTGAATTATTCAACATTATGTTTACTATCAAGAAGGTATTTGAGAGCTAAGTTTGATGCAGAGGCAAAGGGCTACTTGAATTTCAAGGCTGTCTTTTATTACCAAGCTGAGAATGGTAACAGTATTATGATGTCTATTCACATCTGCTGGGACAAGGGATTTGATCCAAAAATCAGGAAGGGAGGTATCAAAGTAATGCCATCTGGCTGGGACCCTAACATCTGTATTTGGATGGTAGCTATGCCCTTTTCCTACTCTCCAATATCTTTAACCCAAAGATTTTTATGGAAAGTTAAACTCTGCACTAAATATACTTGTTGGCATGCAAGTTTTAAAAAAGAAAAGCATCAAATGCCCTAACAGATATCCAACTTCTTGGTGGGAAAATATAAATTTATTTCTTATGGCATTTTCTGAATATAAGATATTTTAAAAATGAGAACCTTTGCATATTCTTCAATCATACCTTTTTTTATTTTTCAAAACTATGATTTTTCTATATTCCTTGTGTTCTTTCTCACAGAGTTAGCAAACTATCAGTGTTGGCCCCATTCTGGCCTTTAATGTTTAGCTTCAAGGAACTTAACTGTTCTTCATTTTGTGAATGGTTCATTTGGTGACTAATACTGTTTTAAAAAGTGATCCTTTGGTAACTCAGGTATTATAAGGACCGACAATGTAATTGAAATTATTCTTATGTAAAAAAAATTCCAGAAATGTAGGTAACTTAAAGATATTATTTCTTTATTTCTATCACAGCCAACTCAGATATCTGTACAAATGCAGAAGGAGACAGATAATTCAAACTAGTTAACCTACACATCATTTCTGTTGTTCTTCAAAATGGACAAATATATCATCAATCAAACCATGAGGCTGAGAAATGTGACCAGTCCACATTCTTAGCCTGGCTTCTGATTAGAAGTTTCAGCTACATTTCTGCAGCTCATTCCATAAGATGGGGTTGGGGAGAGGCATACATTTATCATATTTTTAAATTAAGGTTATTAGAAAGAATGGAGAACTGAGAATACAATTCTGCCCACTCCAATACTGGCGCTGCCTTTGATTCAGAGAGTTTTTGCATGACAGCAAAAATACAATGGGTGGGCCTAGAAGTGTTTCATCTCTCTGGTTTGCCCAAGTCATAGTCACAGCTAAGTAGGTAGAGAAAATAGAAACATCTGGTGGGCATTCAGTCATCCAGAATTTTGAAGCTAACCCCCTCTTAATTATAAACCTCATCAATCACATTTGCATCCTCACCCTGTCTTAGCTTTTTGACTGAGCAGTTTTCTAGGCCGAGTGCTGTTATGACCTAATGCCCCTAAAAAGTAAATAGGATTAAGAGCTCGACAGACTGTTTTTATATGACCCTTGAGCTAAGAATGATTTCACATTTTTAAGAGGGAAGAAAGGAAGGAAGGGAGGAAAATAGAGAAAGATGAGATAAAAACTATATGTGGCCTGCAACACCAAAAAAAAAAAAAAAGGTCATCATCTGGCCCTTTATAAGAAGAATTGGCCAATTCATAAATGACATAGAAACTGGTGTTTAAAACAATGTAGCATAGGAATCTTTTCATTCCTGATGTTCCCCAAGGAAAATGGATCCCTCATATAATGGGGCAGTTTATTATTTCTGTCCTCAGAATATCTGTAATACAATTTAATGCTCTAGATATGAGATTATCCCTGAGGTTGTTTTGAATCTCACTTCTTACTGTTGAGTCATTGACAAGCATCAGTTAAAAACGTGGCCAGACACCGGATTCTATATAAACAGTTTTCTTACATACCCTTCCAGGAAAAAAGTTAGCCATCAGATTTGCTATCTTTTGTCTGAGAAAAATTAGGTTATGTGGCACAAAAATTGACTGTCAGCAGCTAAGCCAAGACTTGAATGGGAAAAACCATAGACTCCAATGCTATTTAGTTCTCAATTACATTAAGAGTTTCCACCCACTGAAGGCTGGAATCTGGCCAATGAAAAGCTTTATTTATTTGCTGAAGCTCACAACCCCAGTTAGGTATTTTTATCATTAAGTATATTACACATTTTGGATATTTGATTTGTGCCGATTGATATTCAAACAAACATGTACCAGAAAATTCCTGTTTCCAAAGGAAGAAGCTAATGTACACGTTCCTCTTGATAGCATCTGATGCAGTTACAGCATTATTACATTTAATTTTGTTTTGGAGAAAAAAAATCAGTAATACACGATAAAACTCTCTCTAAATGTGCCTAAATCTAAAAATACAGTTATATAGTCATTAGAGGAAAATGATGTTTTGGTTGTATTTGGACTCACCATGTATTTGGACTCACTTATAGTATATGAGATCGCCCTAAATAAATTATTAAATCAGAATGACAGATGAAGCTACCCATGCAGGGATCGTGATGGTAAGAAGTCAGAAATTCATGACACACTTGAATGGGTCTTTATTTGGCCCCAGACACTTTTGGAAGCAGACCTCCATCATTTCTGTCTGGGACAGTTTCAGTTTTAAAAGCATTCACAGCAAAGTGTAAATCACTGGAAGCAACAGAATATTTTTTCTGGTTTATGAGCAATAATAAGGTAAAAGCACAAAGAGTAGGTTAAATTAATTGGTTTGGTTTGGTATGGCTTGGTAAAATTGGAAAGACTTCTAAATCTTTGATTTGTTCATGCTTCAATGTGCCCATCCCCACTCTTCTCCTGGCATTATCTGACTGACAGGTCGCTTGTCTGCTCTGATTTTTTTACGTTGCTTCCTTTTTCTTCAAGCAAGGACTGCCTCTTAGAATCTGAGATAGATGGAGAATAAAGAAGTATTCTCTTTCTCCATCTTCTCATCTTTATTAGAGATGGTTCATCTAAACTAATTTTTTTTGTTGTTTTTTGAGATGGAGTCTTGCTCTGTCACCCAGGCTGGAGTGCAGTGGCACAATCTCAGGTCACTGCAACCTCTGACTCTCAGATTCAAGTGATTCTCCTGCCTCAGCCTCCTGAGTAACTGGGACTACAGCCATACACCACCGTGCCCGGATAATTTTTGTATTTTTAGTAGAGACAGGGTTTCACCATGTTGGCCAGGATGGTCTCGACCTCCTGACCTCGTGATCCACCTACCTCGACCTCCCAAAGTGCTGGGATTACAGGCATGAGCCACCGCACCTGGCCCATCTAGACTAATTTTCAAACTACACGGAAGTTATGATGGAAACGCGATAAGTATCGTGATGGTAAGGAGATAAGTATCATGATGGTTTCATCACCTTTTCTATAATTCTCACCAATGAAATCAGGCAAAGAGCTCTGTTTTTTCTAAGGTAGGGTCTGATTGAAAGCTGTGATTAAGAATACGAGCTCTGGAACCACACAGACCTCAGTTTAGGTCCTTGATCTACCAGGGGACTTTGGACACGTCATTTAATATTTTAAAACTCAAGTTTACACACTTGGAAAGTGAAAATATTAATATCTTCCTCAAACATTCGTTATGTGGAATAAATTGCATAACGTTTGCAATCCTGAAATGTCATGGTTTCTTAATAAATGGGAATTACTATTACGATTAGTCACAATTTAACCCTTTTTACCTTTTTCTGTGCAAAGAAAACGTAACTGTGCATTCATTGTCTTAACCAAGCATCATCAAGCCTGACCTGGCGATTTAGCCTGATCATTTCTCAGCCTTTTGGCTAAGATCAAGTGGAGATTTAGCCTGGCTCCCAGGATCTCACCTATGATTTCTGGCATCTAGAATCTTATTTATGAATCTGACTTCAGCGGGTCTTCGGAAATAATTGTTCCTGGTTCTTTCTTCACCACATAGCTCGGTGGTATTTAATCTATTTAGAAGCAGAATCTTTAACTTAGTTAAGTCATACATGTAACCACAAAATATAAAACAGTAAAGAGCGTTTCTGTGAAAACACGGGAGCCCAAAGCCTCCTCCAACAGGCCTCTGAGTCATGTCTGAAGGACCTATGACCTCCATTAATCCCTCCAGAGGAGCACTGAAGCAGTGGATCCCCCTTAACTTAGCATAATAACCAGGTTTATTTGAGAGTCAGCTCCCCTTATCTAACAGAACTCTTTTCTCTGCACGCAGCTACCCATAGCCCAAGCTCTCCTGACCCACTGTGTGGCTCTCTCAATTTGAGGGTAATTCAGAGAAACATAGCAAACAATCTCTTAATAAAAGCCCAGAGTCCCATGCACTGAAATATAGTCCTTAGTAGAATCACAGGGGGTACACATGAGCTATTCATATTTTCACAAATTTCCTAAGTGAGCAAGATGCTACCTAATTTGAGAATCATTGCTATAAAGGACATAGATGGTCACAGATTCCTAAACTCCCAAATTGAAGGAAACAAACTCACTCTTAAGCATTTGAAGATGGGTATGTAACAACTACCTTTGAAAGTAAGACTGAAAATTGATAACTAAAAACTATATTATACAGAAAACTCAAAGTGCATAGAGAATCATCAACATCCCAATAAATTGTTCATGTGGGGACTGTTTTCTAAACATCAAGTTAGCTTGATTTTCATCTCCAAACACCATAAATTTTATTTTAGTTGGTGTTTACACTGCAGTATCATTCACATGATAAAGAATCTTGCCCAGTGGTAGCAGGCACCTGTAATTCCAGCTACTCGGGAGGCTGAGGCAGGAGAATCATTTGAACCTGGGAGGCGGAGGTTGCAGTGAGCCGAGATCGCACCATTGAACTCCAGCCTGGTTGACAAGAGTGAGACTTCATTTCAGGGGTAAAAAAAGATCTTGCTCAGTGTTAGTACTTTGAAAAAAAATTCAAGAGGAATGTTCTTCCCCGCTCCTTCTTATTTAGTCTAAATAATTGTATCCTTATAGAGACTTTCCTCAACCACTGAAACTAGAGTAGCTAATAAGTCACTTGCCATCATATTAAAGTGCTTTCTGTGTGCCATTTATTCCTATATGTTTTCATGTTTATTTGCATGCTTAATTATTTATTACTTGTCTCCACTTCAAAATTTGTTCCATAACACAGGGAATTTCTTTGTTTTCCATCATGTACCTAGTATATGTTGGTCCATAATAAATATTTATTGAATGAGTACATGAGCTAATTAAGTGAGCCCTCACTTTTATCCTCCATAAACAGACTTCTTTGGGGAAAGGCATGACAAGAAGAAAGTTCTCTCAACTCCAGTTTAACTCCAAATCTCAGGTAATCAACTTCCCCACACTCCATTTCCCCCTTGAAGCTGGATTATTTTAGATTTGAAGATGGCATCTCACTCCCTGATACTCTGAAAGAACTAAAAGTC
The DNA here is from genome assembly GCF_000001405.40 of Homo sapiens. Classification (NCBI taxonomy): domain Eukaryota; kingdom Metazoa; phylum Chordata; class Mammalia; order Primates; family Hominidae; genus Homo; species Homo sapiens. The sequence goes on from NC_000010.11 coordinate 10,481,611, forward strand.
ACACCAGTACCTGGCCATTTGAATGACATATGACATTATTGGAAAATTAATAATTGGGTCAGCAAGTCTTGGGAAGAAGAGAAAAGGAAACAATATCATTTCTTTGTCTTCAGATCTCGATATTTTGTGTGATGATTTTTTCCCTTTTAATTGTAAATTGTCGACTCAATTCTGTAGTTTGAGGGAAATCATGCAAATGTTATGCTTCATTTTCCCTCTAATAACTCAAAATAATTATTCACTGGCAGAAACACAGGCTTAGCAGTACATGAAATAATACAGAATCAGGTCTCATTGCATATGTAGAAGGTCCAATTTAGGCAAAAGTTATTTCTAGCAATGCATGATTCTGAATCCTCAATGGCCACATTTTGGATGTTCTTAAACTTAAGGATCATTTTCCTATCTTTTTAAGCAGATATAAGGGTTAGCATGATAGAAATTGCTATAATAGGTGAACAATATTGATTTGCACATACACTCTGCGTCTGTGAGAAAGAGTGGTTTGCATAGTAAATGTCTTTCAGAAGATTCCATTTTGGAAATTGTTGATTATGTATTCATGCATTTCATTGCATGGGGAAAGATTCTGTTAGAATTGTTCAGAAATATCCCAATGCATATGGTATGTTTTTTGCAACATTATAGATTATTTTCAATGCATAAAATGTATAGAGTGTATGTTTTGCTTAATGTTCAATCACAGATTTATATAAATCACCTAATTTAAAATACGTGAAAAGTTGGTTAAGGAAGGTATTTACCAAACTATGCTTTTATAGCATTAATGTTCTGCTAATGTTAATAGGAGTTGGCTGTAAATGGTCAAATCAATGTAAGAAACTCTGGGTTAAAGTGTTAAAAAAGTTTCCTTCACTGTAAGACTTTCATACAACCTTAACTATGCCAGTAGGTATTGTAAATATTCAAGCCAAGTACAAAGTTTGCAACATTTATCAAACTTACACCAAAGACAATTTTCTTTTTCAAACAACAGTGTATTGATTATGCTTTTTATTTTCTGTGTCTTATGAGGCTTTGACATTTTGGAGCATCTTACTAATCCTGGAGAGACTGCCCCTCCCAGAGCTAATTCCTACAGATAGTAAACAACTCGCCTGTGAACACACCTGCCCTGTACAAACCAACCACTCCAAAGCTCACACTGCCAGCCACCCCCTTCATCTAACTCACACAGCAAGGCAATATTTCCCTGCCCTAAATCGCTCCAGTGCCAGGTACTGGATGACAAAGGACGCCTCCCCTGTCACTGTTTGATAGCTCAGAGCTCACTGAAATTATTTAAACTAGCCAGTTTTAAACCTGCTCAGCTGCTTCACCTGCCTGGCCCCTTCCTTCCCATGAAAACACAATAAAGGCGCTGGACCCTGTTTTCTCCTCCCTTCTTCTGCCTCCTTAAAGAGCCGGGTACTTCCTCATGTGGCTGGTGTGTCCCCTTCTCTTAGAAACCATAAGTGGTAAAAACTTTTCTCAACGGCTTTTGCTTCTCCGTGTTGCTTCTGTCACCTTTACAAGTTACAGTCTCACAGGTACAATCTAAACAAATGTTTGGTAAACAGTTCAGTCCACACTGGCAGAATACCAAAAAAAAAAAAAAAAAAAAAGCATAGACTTTGGAGTCAAATGGGTTCAAATCAAACTCTGTTTCTTAGGACCTAAAATGTCATGGGATGACCTCTCCAAATATCTATGTCCTCATTTATAAAATAGAGAGAAAAACAATTCCTCTGAAAGCACTTGGAAGATTTCATAGTGAGTTGGGCTAAGCATAACACAGTTCCTGGTAGCACATAGGAGTCCACTGGGTATGTAAATACATGATTAGTCTGTAAATTGAGGAATGCACAAACCGAAGGGTGGGTAAAATGTTCTATTAGCCAATTATTATCTCCAAGATCTGAAAATGACCCCTTTCTTTGCCTATAATATAAATCAACCAGTTTACTTAAGAAAATTTTAAGATTGCTGTCTGTGTCTTTAGTTTTGCTTAACCTTAATTTAGCAGTGAAATAAAGACAGCAGTCAGATCTCTCTATGATCAATTTTATTTTCTAAACTTTCTGTCTACCAGGCTGGTGTCCAGTCCAGTGAGAGGCTGAAAGGAGGACTCTGAAAATGCAGCAAATTGAACAACGCAAAATATTCTGTAAAGAAAATCAGTTTAATCCTTAACTCTACAAGTTAAAAAATTGTATTCCTCTTGCAGAAAGCCTGCTTGCCTGCCTGCCTTCCTTCCTTCCCTCCTTCTCTCTCTCTCGTCTCTCTCTCATCTCTCTGTGTCTCATCTCTCTCTCAACTCTCTCTCGTCTCTCTCTCTCATCTCTCTCTCTCCCATCTCTCTCTCTGTCCCTCCCTCCCTCCCTCCCCCGCTTTCTCCCTCCCTCCCTCCCCCACTTTCTCCCTCCCTCCCTCCCCCACTTTCTCCCTCCCTCCCTCCCACCTTCTCTCTCTCTCTCTCCCCCTCCCTCCCCCCTCCTCTCTCTCTCCCTCCCCCCTCCTCTCTCTCCCTCCCTCCCTCCCCCCTCCTCTCTCTCTCCCTCCCTCCCTCCCCCATTTATCTCCCTCCCTCCCCCTCCTCTCTCTGTCTCTCTCCCTCCTCCCTTCCCCCCTCCTCTCCCTCCCTCCCCCCTCTCTCTCTCCCTCCCTCCCCCCTCTCTCTCTCCCTCCCTCCCCCCTCCCCTGCACTCTTGTCTCACTCTCATCTCACTCTCGTCTCACTCTGTCACCCAGGCTGGAGTGCAGTGGTGCAATCTTGGCTCATTGCAACCTCTGCCCCCTGGGTTCACGCGATTCTCCTGCCTCAGCCCCCCAAGGAGCTGGAACTACAGGCACATGCCACCATGCCCAGCTAATTTTTGTATTTTTAGTAGAGACGGAGTTTCACCATGTTGGCCAGGCTGGTCTCAAACTCCTGGACTTAAGTGATCCACCCACCTCGGTCTCCCAAAGTGCTGGGATTACAGGCATGAGCCACCACACCCTGCCAGAGAGCTTTTCAACTAAAGTACTTGTGGCTTTTCAGTCGGTTAGGAATACAAGCCTAGCCCCAGTCAATGTGGAGCTGGTCATGTGTGCACATTTTAATAACCAAAAATGTTAATGTGGCTTTCAATAGATGATGAACCTAAAAATTAAACATACCAAATAAAATACTATCAAATCACACAATGACATTCTTAATTAGCACAACTAATAATTAGGCAGTATATCTACCATCCTGGATATGGACTTTATTTTAAAATCCTGCATTCTATATCAGCCCTGAAGAAGAGGATATTTTCCAATGAAAATATCCCTTTTGTTGAATTTCTCTTTTCAGATAGCTTCTGGATAATGCTTTATGAGCAGCTTGTACTTTATATCTCTTTATGTACTCTTTCTGATGCTACCAGGAATTGCCCTCTAGGGATGCTCTGACATTTCACTGGGGCAGCCCAGTAATATTTTTTTACATGATCTGCCAAGGGGATTGGCCTTACAGAAGAGTCAACTCCTCATTCAGGGATTGATAATAGATTCAATTACATTGCCTACCATTTCTGATCATTATTGCTAAGATAAAATTCATGTTGTTACAGTATAATCTTGATTAAAATGTTTAAGGCAGTGATGAGTAATGCCAAGGACCCGCAATTAGAAGGCGTGATCGTCCAGAGGTGACAGGTGTTCATAGCATTGTTCAACAGATGCTCTTCTCTAATAAACAGTTCTACTCATTTTTATTTTAGCATCCTATGTTAGCCTTTTCCAATTTGGTTTGCAGTGGGAAGCACCTGTACACATATAAACTTTTAAGCCCAGGATATTGCTTTTCATCTCAAACAAGTCTTTTGGTTACAAGTGTGAACAATCAGACAAATACATGCAAGGCTGCCATTCACAAAGCAGTCCAATGGATAATTCCTCTTAAGAAATGTGAGGAAAATGGTGTCATTCCCCATGCAGGGAGAGAAAATAATCTCTGCTCTATTTGTGGCACTAGCAGCTTTATATTAACAATGTTCACAGTGCATCTACCTCATGAGATGTTATGAGGGTGAATACAACCATTTTTGCAGAATGCTTTGTGTTTATATAGCACCTCTTCCCAGAATACTCCTGGGAGGGTTGCAGTGATTGTCACTGGATTTAACTGTCTCTATCCTATCCGTTCCTAAAATAGGCATGAAAGTGCAAAACAGAGCCCTACAACATCATTATAATCAGGATAAATCGAAAGCTTACTTGTGTTAAAAATAATAACTGACAATTACAATGTGGAGAAATACAGGAGAGGAAGTGAAATCACCCCTGTATTCATCAAAGTTTGTGATCAGAAACTTTTACATTCTATACTCAGCAGTCATGTCAAGAAAGACCATTTTCCAATGAGTTAATTGCATGCATCAGAGCATGGAGTAGAATTAGAATCATGGAAACATAGAATAATGGCATTCAGATATTGAAGAAATGCTACAGCCTCTCCAGTAGTATGTTCTTTATTCTCCCGGAAATGTCAATGAGGCTCCAAGAGCCTGTGGTAGAGGTGGAAATGGTGGTCTTCATTCTCAAGCTTCTAAATCTAGACTGGAAAAAGCACTAAGGAAAACAATCAACAGATAATACAAACACCAGTAAAGAACTCCAACCTTTTCCTTTTCTCACTGGTTAATTAAACCCACACAGGAATGCAAGTGCACATAGAAAGGCTTAGAAACTGGCCCCATAATGATTTTAATACCATGATTTAATTTGTGATCTAGAGAGAGCAACTGCTAAACATCAGAGCTCAAATGAGTCTTCTCTAATAAATTGCATTTTTTGTCTTCATACAAAAGTAACTTTTACATTTTACACCATTGCATGCTATTTACTATTCATTATACAGCAGGTTGAGTATTCCGTATCTCAAAAGCTTGGGACCCAATGTGTTTCAGATTTTTGGCCTTTTATTATGGGGAGAGTTTTGTCATATTTGCATTATACTTACCTGATTGAGCACTCCAAACCTGAAAATCTGAAATCTGAAAAGCTCCAATGGGCATTTCCTTTGAGCGTCATGTCAGTGGTGATCAAAACGTTTTGAACTGTGGAGCATTTTGGATTTTCAGATTTAGAATGCTCAACCTATATTGGATTTTGAAAAGTAATCTAGATAAACATTCTTGGGTTTGTTGTCCTGGAGTTTGTACCCTAACTTAGGAAGCCATTGACATGTGTTAAAAGCAGAAGGATCTAATGATGATGGAGAAGACTCAGTCCACTAAAGGTCAGGAAAGGCAAAAAGGGAGCAGAGAGGAATTACTATAAAAAGCTCAAAGCAGCAATTTGACATTTATCTTCCTATCCCATCTCTTCATTCCCCTAGTATAAAATTAAATTTCCCTGTCCATCGTATATGCCTAGGGGTGTGTTTCACTTGCATAGAGAATGTAGAAGCATTTTATGCTTAAAGGTATCAGGACAAGTAGACATGTTTCAGAATAGACATCTTGCTGGCTTCCTATGATTTCTGTGATGGCTCTCAGCAAATGGGGATGCTGCAATGTCTTCTTTTGTCCTTTCAAGACAGCTCTTCTTGGATCGTGTATTCTACTTTGTTACTATTATTATTAGATATTAGTTGCCAATGTTTTACTTATAGCACAGTTGTAAAATTTAAATTGTAGAATGGCCAAGTGGCCACGTCAGAGGTCAGAGCAGCATGAAGGCTGGGAGGTTATTTACAATCAAAAGCTTCCCTCTCTTAAGTTACATCTCAGCCATTTACAAAGCCAAACAGCAGCCTGGTTGATTTTGTCTTGCATGGATTGGACTGGTTCTAAAGCTTTGTACATTAAATCCCAGGAATTTTAAATCAAACACACTACAGTATGTTTTTCTGCATTATTAACTGTGGATAGTTTTACCCTGGCTTTTTCATGACGTCCATGACCCCATCCTTCCATTGGGTATTACAATATCGCCTGTGAAAAGAAAAAAATGCTTTGACTCTTTCTTCACCTTTGGAAGTTTCATAACCAAAACCTTATACTTTGATGCATATTTGAGAAGATGTTGAAATTATACTAGACAATTTAACTGGTAAATTCCAGTGGAATTGTTAAGAAATAATATATCCACATTTATACCAAATTAATGCATCACGATTAAAGGTCTTAAAATGAATACCAAATGAATTAGTAATGGTGGTCTTTGTGCTTAACCCTTTAAATTGTATAAAAATATATCTGTATCAAATAGTTGAACATAAGAATGAGAAATTGAAGTTAGTAGTATTTGTAATCCAAAGATTGCAAATGTTATTAGGGTTCTTTTGTTTAATAATGCATAATCATTACATAATCATTATGTGATCATTACATGATTGTTACATAAAAATGTAACAGTGAAAGCCAATATATTATTAATGGAATGAGCTAATTTCAACAGTTCATGAGAAAACAAAAGTCCCCAAAGTGAAAATAAACTTGTCATGTTCTATAACCATAAAACATTAATTTTGATAAATCAAATGTAACTAACTTGATTTATAATTTATTTTGAAGTATTAGTTAAGGATATCCTTATTATATTGCCTTTTCAATGCAATCTAATGGAGTAGTAATCCCAATCCTTATTTGGAAATCAATATAGCGATGAAAACAAACGACTGAACTAGTGAAAGAGTTGAAAACATGAGTCAGACAAATCAAACTTCAAATTCTAGGAGAGCTACTTGTTCTGTGACCTCATCAGATTATTTAATTTCCCTATGTGTCAGTTTCCTCATCTGCAACAAAGAAGCTGGAAATACTTGCCTGATAGACTTGTGTTCATGGACAGAAGAGGTGATTTGTGGAGAATGCTTAGCATACCTGGTACCTAGCTGTATTGAATCTTTATTCAGTATTAGCTATAACTTATAAGCTACAAAAACACTTCATGTGTATTTGCTCACTTAATCATGTATTTTACTAATATCTTCCTCATTTTATAGACAAGAAACTAATGCACAAGGAGATTAATTGCTCAAGAAATGGCAGGTATTATTATTACCATATTTCTACACTTTTATTCTCTTTTCTACTCTTTCTCAACAGAGATTTGTTTGTATAATGATGGTATTAAGAAACATAACAGGTATAGCCTTAAAAACTGATAACATTAATTTGACATAGCAAATTAACGTAGATGTTAAACTGAAGTACATTCATTATCAAATCTTTCCATTCTTTTCCTTCAAGGTTTGAAAAACCGTATAACCAATGCAAGAAGGAGCTTGGGATCAAAATCCTGACTCCAAAATCCCCAACAGAGACACAAAGAACAACATGTCTGAACACCCTCCTCTACTGAAAGTGGCAAAATTTAGAGTAGGGAATGGTGATAGTGGCCAGCTTAATTTCCTCCAAGCAAGGCTATGGAGAATCTTCCATTAAATATCAATGTAATTTCAGCGAATGCGGTTCTGATACACATCTCAAACACCCAGCCCTGTAAAGTGCTGTCAAGAAGCTCTAGACATCTCACTGATGAACATTTTCACACCAACTTCTTCACCAAAAAAAAACTTCCCATAACCTACACCCTACAGAACTTAATACTGAAGGATAATAATGACTCAACCTAACAAAAATGAAACCTCACTTCTCTAAAGGATTTTTCTTAGAGAGTCCAGATATGTTAGTCCTGTCGTCACCTTCATCCAGAAGGACAAACAGCCCTGGGATTTCCAAATTGTAACTGGAACAGTGCTGGTACATTTGTAGCATAATGAGAGTCTTCATCACTGATAATTTTAAAACTAGACTACATTTTTCAGTGTCAGCTCCGTCTAGTACTGATTGTTTTGGCAGTGTCCGATCATATTGTATTTTTCATGTTTCTTCATTTCTTAGTGTTATTTAATCATTTCAATTAGCTCTCCCATTTGTTCACATAACTCAGTGAGTATACGGTGTATATTAGAAATGAATTCAATTTTGATTCTTATATGTCAGTCAAAAATAGCAACTGCAACTACAGATGATTGCTTAGGCATGAGAGACCTATACTTTGGGGCAATGCTTTGGATTTTTAATATTCTGGAGCAATTTTATAAAGTAGTCCATTAATTATTTGAGAGTGATGTGTGCTAATATATCCTGTGTGGCCTATCCTTAAAACAAAACGTGACGAAAATCAGCAAAATGGTAAGATTTCAGGTGGAGTTGACAATTTCAAGCAAACAACCTCATGAACTCTAGAATTCCAGAAAAATAACTTTTCCATTCACATTTTTAAATTAAGAATCTATGTGAGTACAGGTTTGGGGGGAGGGTGGGTGGATTTCTATGCATCATGCAGAAGGAACACATATTTGTGTAACTTACAGAGATTCAGATGTCAGAAGGAAAGATGCAGAGTACTTTATGGCATGACTAACATAAACCTTTGTTATTTATCTGAAACATCACATTTGATTATTCTTCCAGTAAAATTCTCTGGAATGTCATGGGGGAAAAAATCACTCCTATCATGTCATAAACTAATGACAACTAAAATACCATTTGTAACAGTAACAGAACTCTTTAGGCTTGCCTAAATATCAGATTTAGCCTAAATACCAGATTTAGGCAAATTTTGCCTAAATTAGAAACAATCCTATTATTCGAAGAGATAGGAAATGAAAAACTACAGTTGGAAATTTGGTTTTAAGGCTTGCAAAATTGTCATGAGCAGAAATCACTGTTTTCCTTTATCACATGGCATCTGCCAAGTCTGCCTAATGTGATTCTGTGGAAAATGCCTTTGTCCAGGAATGTCTTATTATGGTTACTTTTTTGGACTTCATTCAGCCAAATGCACTAAAGGATATTCACTGCAGAGTCAAACCTGTCTGTGATGATTTTGGAGGAAAAGGGGTATTTTTAAAGAGGCAAAAGTGCCCTCTCTGTCATCCCAGAGATTATCATTTATAATCTAATCTATCTGGTTGGGGGGGGGTGGAGCATGTGCACAATAGGCTGGAAATTATTCACAGATATTAATGTAAACACAGGTACACACACATTACATAAAATAAAGAAGAGCAGAAAAAAGTGAAGAACATAGGGATATGAGGATAGGTTACAAATGAGCATAAGCCCCTAGACTGGGAGTGGTCATTTCTTTCCCCATGTCTAAACCCCGCTAAGTAAACAGCCTTCTTCCCACATGAATACCAAGATAAAAAAGGTTGACCCAAATTGCCCAAGGGAGTTAATAATGGCTACTTGGGATTAAAGACAAGCTTCTATACAAATGGAAGAGTTTTACAGCCAGAGATATTTCACCTCCAAAAGATGTCAAACTACAAATGAGAAGGTCACATAAAAACAGCATTAGAGGAGCAAATGGTATGAAGTTTTCACTTAATTGGTTATTGTTTCCCAGTGACTATTGTAAGAAAAACCACTACTATATAAATGTCTGTAGGGAATGGACTAAGGAAAACTTAAATCTGATCGCAGCTAGAAAACCACTGATTCCTCCTCCTCTGAACCAGCTTAGCTCCCTCAAGGTCAAAGTTAGAGGAACTTACTTGGCAAAGAGGTTTCCCTAGCAAAGCACACAAATGAGTCTAGGTACTTCAATCCAGCCCCTTTCACTGACATTAAAATCTATTCAATATATTTTTTTCAGTGTGTTTCAAAAACTTCATCCAGACACACTGAATAGATGCAGAATTGTCTTGCACAGAAATTATACTTGTTTGCATAGCATATCCATTCTAAAATATGACTAAATGAGGTTTCCTGCAGTATGTGCACTAGAAATAGTTTTGAATTCATTTGGTGCTCTTTGCCTCTTGCTCTTTGGTATCTTCAGGAAGATAATCTTCATTCTAATTGTTCTTACAAACATACGCTGGCAGCCCTGTGTTTTCCTAAATATGGGTGGCTCCTGGACTGTATAGCTAATCTTAGGGTTTTCTCAGCTCAACTGCATGAAGCCCATTGTTACAAACTGTGGGTATTAATTTTCTTACTTTCATGATGGAGCATTCATGAATTCTTTTAGAATGTGAATTCCTATCTCTAATCTCTGAAACAAAAAGTTTGTGTTGCATTCAAACCCAAAGCCAGTGAAATCTTTGTGCTCAGTTAAATAGTCAATTCAGTTAAGCCACATTGACAAAAGTGGTTCATCTAGCTGGTGCCAGTAACCAGCTAGTTGTCTATGTCTTTCTTGTCCTGACTTTCTCCACCACGTCTAAAGAACATCTTTTTAACTGCATTTGTTGTTACATACAAGCCCAAATGATCGTCTTTTCATAAACATGATCTTTTCTTATACATGAGATCCTTTTTTGCCAGGTCTTTTTTCCTTTCTTCTTGAATGCCCCATCCCTCTCTTTCCCACTTTCCCATTTTCTTACCCCTCTTCCTCCCGTCCTCTCACTTCTTGTGCTATTCCATTCTCCATCCCTTCCCAGTTAACTCAGTAATTTAGGATTTATTCTATTTTTAATTTTCTTTCATGTCAGAGACTAGTTATTGGTGATGCCAGATCACCAACATCATTAAGCACTTGACTGTACTTCTCTGAAAATCTCTGCAGTTCATCCTCTGTCCTCTTCCACAACAGACAGCCTCTGATCACATCTCCATCTCTAATCCGTTTGCACAACAGCTCAAATCCAGCCTTGCCCCTCTTTTCCATTCTCCTCAGAGCAGGAAATGAGTTCTCTAAACCAAGCTGATTAGTCTGTCTCTCCAGGATAGCAATAGGAGATATACCTAATGTAAATGATGAGTTAATGGGTGCAGCACACCAACATGGCACATAGATATATATGTAACAAACCTGCACGTTGTGCACATGTACCCTAGAACTTAAAGTATAATAAATATATATATATGCAAGCTGCACTTGGAAAGCAGACAAAAGTATGGCGGTTCTTCCAAAAAAATAAACCATGGAACTACCATATGATCTAGCAGTTTCACTTCTGAGTACATAGCCAAAGGAATTGAAAGCAAGAAACTGAAGGGAGATTTGTCCACCCACGTTTACAGCAGCATTATTCACAATAACAAAAAGGTGGAAGTAACCCAAGTGACCACCATAAACAAAAAGTGACATATAAATACAATGAAGTATCAGTTACTGAAATGGTTTGGCTGTGTCCCCACCCAAATTTCATCTTGAATTGTAGCTCCCATAATTCCCACATGTTGTGGGAAGGACCTGGTTGGAGATGACTGAATCATGGGGGCAGTTTCCCCCATACTGTTCTCATGGTAGTGAATAAGTCTCATGAGAGCTGATGGTTTGATAAGGGGAAATCCCTTTCACTTGGTTCTCATTCTCTCTCTTGCCTGCCACCGTGTAGTAAGACGTGCCTTTCACCTCCTGCCGTGATTGTGAGGCCTCCCCACCCATGTGGGACTGTGAGTCCATGAAATCTGTTTTTCTTTACAAATTAGCCAGTCTCAGGTATGTCTTTATTAGCAGCATGAGAACAAACTGATACGGTCACCCTCTAAAGGAAGGACATTCTGACACATGTTACAACATGGATGAACCTTGAGGACATTATGCTAAGTGGAATAAGCCAATTACAAAATAACAAATACTGTACGATTTTTCTTAAATGAGGCACTAGAGTAGTCAAATTCACAGAAACAGAAAAGTAGAATGGTGATTGCCAGGGTCTGGGGAGAGGGGGCATGGATGGCTATGGGCGAATAGGTGCAGAGTTTCAGTTTTGCAAGATGGAAAAAGTTCTGGAGATGCATGGTGGAGACGGTTCCACAAAGGTATTAATGTACTTCATGCCACTAAACTGTACACCTAAAAATGGTCAAAATGGTAAATTTTATATATACTTTACCAAAAAAAAATAAGTTTCACAGCCTTTAGCAAAAGCCCAAATTCTTTTTTTGTTTGTTTGGATTTTGGGCGTTTTTTTTTTGTTTGTTTCTTTTTTTCTTGAGATGGAGTCTCACTCTGTTGCCCAGGCTGGAGTGCAGTGGCATGATCTAGGCTCACTGCAGCCTCCGCCTCCCAGATTCAAGCAATTCTCCCACCTCAGCCTCCTGAGTAGCTGGGATTACAGGTGCCTGACACTACATACAGCTAATTTTTGTATGTTTTGTAGAGAGAGGGTTTCACCACGTTGGCCAGGCTGGTCTCAAACTCCCGACCTCAAGTGATCCACCCGCCTCGGCCTCCCAAAGTGCTGGGATTACAGGCCTGAGCCACCGTGCCCAGCTGCAAAAGCCCAAACTGTTTAACAAGCGGTAGGCTGCTCTGTGCCCATCCCTTTGAGTCTGGATCATAATGTTGTTCTCTGCCTAGAAAGTACCATTTTGCCAACCTGCCTCTAACCTTCCCCTGACCATCCAAAGCAGAAGATGTGCTGTCTCCCCGGTGACCTCATGGTTCTTTGTTCTCAGGGGCCCTGAAGTGTTTCCAGGGTAAAATCTCTGAGAAGTTTACACTAATGTCTCTCCCAAGAGAGGCTGACTGCCTCCAAAGCACAGCAGTCTTTGCCTGGCACGGAATGAATGCTTCACAAACAGTGAATTAATGAATACATTTCAGCCTGAACCATGTAGACCACGCTGCAGGAATCACTCTCTCTCCAGTTTATGATGTTTCCTTTCAAAGGAAGGGATGAAAAGGTAGCAGCCTCAAGATCAATGGAGCAGGGTTTTGAAATACTGGAATTCAGAATGTTTTCCTGTAAAGTTGAATTTCTAATAACACATGGACATTTTCTTTTAGTAGGCTTTGTTACTGAATGGTAGAATATGAAGGGTAACTCAACATCTTTGACTATTCCCACTCAGAGAAATGGGCATTCTGAGAAATAGCAGAGCGCATTACAAGTTCTCTTAATACTGTAGCCAGTTGCTTTCCAATAAATGGTGTTTTACATACGGGAAGAACAAGACATAGAAAAACTGATTGGTTTGTTCTAATTAACAAAAAGGAAAGCAATAAATATATGATAAGGAGATTTGACATTTTCTTCCTCAGATCATTTTTTTATACACATGTTAGACACCCTCAGCATAATCTTCTTCAGTGAAGCTCTTCTCTTAAACCAATCACAGAGGGTTTTTTGAGCATCTGTTCTGTGTTCATCATTGTACCTGATCTTAGAGTTTCTCATCTAAATGCCATATTCACTATCAAAGGCCTCTATAAAAAATAATATGATTAGACTCTGGGATTTGATGTCTCAGATAAAAATTAATATGAATCTACATACAACAAAAGGTCCAAATTAAGCTAAATGACAGTAGAGAAAATCAAGCTAGGGTGGATTGGGATACCACTGCTTGGGCTATTTTAAGTTAATATTAGCCTATAAGCAATTAAAGACTGAATTGAAAGTCCACTGTGTCCCATCAAAAATTTACCTCTTTGTGGCCAGGTGCAATGGTTCATGCCTGCAATCCCAGCACTTTGGGAGGCCGAGGCGGGCAGATCATGAGGTCAGGAGATCGAGACCATCCTGGCTAACATGGTGAAACCCCGTCTCTACTAAAAAAAAAATGCAAAAAATTAGCCAGGCATGGTGGCGGGCGCCTGTAGTCCCAGCTACTCGGGAGGCTGAGGCAGGAGAATGGCGTGACCAGAAGGCGGATGTTGCAGTGAGCTGAGATGGTGCCACTGCACTTCAGCCTGGGCGACAGAGCGAGACTCTATCTCAAAAAAAATTTACCTCTTTGTAAACAAGAACATCAAAAAGAGTTCATATTATGTATGGAACATTAAACAGCTGTGAGTCATATCTTTGAAGAGTTCTGTGGCCTTACCATGATGTATGTGGACAGAAGAATGGCTGTTTGGGTGTTTCCACCCAATATTTAGACATTGCCCCTTTACTAGGAACTAGTGGAGAACTTAAGGTTACTAAAGAAAACTCATGTAGAGGACCTCAAGGGTGCCTTAAACATCATCCACACTTTCATCCCTGTCCTCTCTACCTGAACAGCCACAGGGTCCGCAGACAACCAGAATTGCTCCACTGAATGCCTCTTGCTTTCTCCCCTTCCTCAAAAGATAAAAATCTCTGGCAGAAGAAATAGTTACCTGCTGCCATCCATCAGTACTGCAATTACCATGACTCTAAGTGACCTTCTTGCCCAATGTTTAATGCACAATGGACCGTGCCCAGGGAGACCTGGGCATTTCTGTTGCTTTGTTCTACAATGATCCCTTCTGTTCTAGCAGCGTGAGCTCACTGATGGTCATACTCTCTGAGGACTGTACGCATTTTCACCCTATATCCACCTGTACCAGAAAACATGGACATAATTTAAAGTTTATTTCTACTTAATAGAGTGATATTCCAACCTGTGTGGAAATAACCATTTGTTACTCTTTAAAGAATGGTATTTAACATTTATTATAATGTAAGTAGTAGCATTTTAGAGTCAGTTAGTGCCAGACTTTGTGCTAATCACTTTACAAGCATTGATTCATTCTGTCCATGGAAACTCTATCCCTTTTGCTCATGTCCCCATTTGACAGCTAAGGAAACTAAAGCTTAGAGAGGTTAGGTAATTTGCCTAAAGCCGTGCAGGTCTTAAGCAGAAGAGCTTGAAGGAGACAAACTCAGATCTGTACAATCCTGAACTCTTATAAGCCACACTTTCCTTCTATGACAAGTTACTTCATTCGGTAATTACTGTTGAAAGACTATTATATCTAAGCCTTCTTTTAGATATCTCTCACATTTGTCTACTCGTATCTACCATAAACACCTCCTTTAGAAGCTACCTTAATTTCTTGCCTATACTACCATAGTAGTCTCCTTTTCTTGCTGCATGCCTGATCTTCATAACAAGAAATGATAAAGTCTTCTGATTGCTTTTAAAGCCTCTCTGTTCTTATCTAACCTCCACATTCCCAGAGCCCTAGTATGGAACCTGGCATACAATAGGTGCTTGACAGATAGCTGTTGATAAATGCATGCATGGATGAAAAGATGGAGGGTGGATGAATACAAATAAGTAATGCACAGTTCTTGCCCCTAAGGAGGTCACCAGACAGAAGGAAAGAAGAAGACATACACACTTATCCCTATAACATAAGCTAGAACCTGAAGTCCTTATGATAAACTGTATTGAAATTGTCTCTGTGTGAATATACACTGTACCCTTGTATCTCTTGCCCTACAGGACCTGGGGTGCTTAACACTCCTAACTACAGTCTCAGAAACCCATGAGAAGTTTGGGGGTGTGGAGGTTCATTGGAGGGAGGGTCAATAATGAAGGGAAGGAAGATGGTGGAAGAAAGGATGGAGGAAAGTTATGTAATAAAAACAAGATGACCAGCTAGGCAAAGTGGTTCATGCCTGTAATCCCAGCACTTTGGGAGGCCAAGGTGGGCGGATCACTTCAGGCCAGGAGTTTGAGATCAGCCTGGATAACATGACAAAACTCTGTCTCTACTAAAAAATACAAAAATTAGCTGGGCAAGGTGGCACATGCCTATAATCCCAGGGGAAGCTGAGGCAGGAGAATTGCTTGAACTCAGGAGGCAGAGGTTGCAATGAGCCGAGATCGCGCCACTGCACTCCAGCTTGGGCGACAGAGCAACTGAACAAGACTCCATCTAAAAAAAAAAAAAAGATAAAAAGAAAAAAAAAATGACAGCACCAAGGAAAAACTTTAGGGAGCTATCTAGATTCACAAAGCTGAGGAAGAAAAAAGATCCAAGAAAGGAGAGGACGCAACAGAGGAAGAGAAACAAAGGATGGAGGAGAGAATCATGCATTCAGTTCATGCAAAAATATTTACTGCATGTCAATTATGTGCCAGGCACTAGGTGCTGAAAATACAGCAATGGAACAACAAAAAAGACATGATTATCTGCCTACTGAATTCACAGCCTAGTGGAAGAGAAAGGCACTACACAATGTATACTATATATGATACCCCACAGAAACCAGTGAAAAGTGCTACAGGTTAAAAAAAAGAGGAAAGGGAGAGATGAAGGGTTGGGGATGAGGGTTTTTAGTGTCTAGATGGGTGGCCAGGGGAGGAGGAGCCGGCCACACCGCTGTCTGCAAGAGAGTGTTTCAGCCAGCGGGAAGCAAGGGCAAGGCCATGGAGCAGGGGTCTGCTGGGCATGTTCCACAAGAGCAAGGAGGCTGGTGTGACTGGGTCAGAGAAAAGGACGATGAATCAGGACAAGAGGGCACCGATACTGTAAGCATCCTAAGGGCTGGCTTTTACTTCAGTGAGACAGGAAGCTGTGGGAGGGTTTTGAGCAAGGACATAACTGGACCGCCTTACAATTTAACATCTTCACTCTGGATTTTCTGTTGAGAATAAATAGACGAGGTGCAAAAGAAGAAATTGATGAACAGAACAGACCAAAAGGAGACTATTGTAGTAATTCAGGTCAGAGGTGAAGGAGGGTCCCCAGACAGTCGTGATAAGAGGCGGGAAGAAGTGCTCTAATTCTAGATCTATTTTGTGGAAGAGAAAGCAGGGTTTGCTTACGGACCAGTTGTGAAGAGGGAGAGAAAGAAGAGTCAAGGACTACACCAAAGCATCTGGCCTGAACAAGAAGGAGATAAGGATGGCCATGAATTGTGGGGAGGAAAGAGGCGGAAGGCGCCCATTTCAGGAGAATGTCAGCTCAGAAACGTGCCATCTGAAATGCCAGTGCCCTATGCAGAGGCAGATGACAAGTTAGACACTATGCAGACTCACAGTAAGGAGAACCAGGAAGGGCAGCCTCAAAGATACTGGAGGAGGAAAGTTGTTCAAGGAAGGAAGTAGGTGATCGGGCCAAAACCTGCCGAATGGCTAACAATGGTGAAAGTTGGCCAAGTCTCTTGGGTTTGATTAAGAGACAGCAATTTGAGCTTGGCTCCTGGAGGCAGAACTCTGCCAGTGGTTAAAAGGACAGTAAGAGATGAGGTGGAAAGCATAGTGTAAGGAGACTGGTTAGAGAAATGGGACCAGGTAAATAGAGTCCATCACGCATGCCTTCTGAGATCATGACATGGTGCCTTTTCAGCAAGTGTTATCTTGCAGGTACAGTCAAGCTTCGCCTTCCTCTAGCCTCTTCCCCATCGTGGAGCTAACACAGAGTCACATTGCTGAAAAACACAATGTAACAAGCCAAGCAAGTGTGTGCATTAAATCCACGGAAAATGAGGAAGTAGGGATTTGCAGCAAAAATTTGATTAACTCATTTCATTAAAAAGGACATTGACATGCAAAATAATGGAAAACAATTAATGGTCTCATTAAGATCTTTACAAATTAGAGAAGGACCACAGGGAGATGGGAGAGAGTTGGAGACAGGAGAAAGGGGAGGACAAGCACACACTTGGGCATTTTTCCAGCTCTGCCTCATTCTCCTTCTCTAAAATCCATATGGGAGAAGTCAAAGAGAGTCTGCATGGTCCCTGCCTGGCTCATTTACAACTACAGTCATCCACTGCTTATGAAATACTGGATCTTTCCCAAGCATTCTACTTTTTTTTTTTTTTTTTGAGAGAGTCTCACTCTGTTGCCTAGGCTAGAGTTCAATGGCACGATCTCAGCTCACTGCAACCTCCGCCTCCTGGGTTCAAGCGATTCTTGTGCCTCAGCCTCCCAAGTAGCTGGGAATACAGACATGTGCCACCTGCCTGGTTAATTTTTCTATTTTTAGTAGAGTTGGGGTTTCACCATGTCGGCCAGGCTGGTCTCAAACTCCTGGCTTCAAGCGATTCTCCTGTCTCAGCCTCCCGAAGTGCTGGGATTACAGGCCACCATGCCCAGCCATTCTACCAACAGAAGACTATGTTTGAATTATTTTTGTTTTTATTGAATACAAGACATTCAAAAGGAGGGCTAAACTTACTAGTAATTCACATGTGATTATGTGATTATACACTGCTATGTTAAGTTCGCTTAGGAGTTAGGAGTGCAGTTTAAGTTGGGGCAGAGGAGGGAAAGAATGGCAATGTGGAGCTTTTAATGGGAAACAAGCTGGGATGATGTGCAGAAATAAGAACTCCTGGCTGGGCACAGTGACTCAGGCCTGTAATCCCAGCACTTTGGGAGGCCAAGGCGGGCAGATCATGAGGTCAAGAGTTCGAGACCAGCCTGGTCAACGTGGTGAAATCCTATCTCCACTAAGAATACAAAAATTAGCCGGGCGTGGTGGCATGCGCCTGTAATCCCAGCTACTCAGGAGTCTGAGGCAGGAGAATCACTTGAACCTGGGAGATGGAGGTTGCAGTGAGCTGAGATCATGCCACTGCACTCCAGCTTGGGCAACAGAATAAGACTCTTGTCTTGTGGGGGAAAAACAGCTCCTGAAACATTAATGGCAGTACCAGGTACCAGAAAACCATGACCTAGGACAATAGAGAGACATACATAAAGCAAAGTCAGTCTTTTCACTTTTGCTAAGTATAAACTCCATTAGAGCCTCACCGCAGAAACTGGAACAGGAAACAGCATTTCAATAACATTTAAGTGAGTCATAGTAACTACACCCTGTATATCGAAGCTTCTAACTGTCTTAAGTCTCATTTGGGCACTAAATAATAATGATGTGGCATTTTGAGATAGGATCCATCTTACTTTATTATTTGGAGAATTATTACTTACAGTATTCCCATTTTTTAAGTTGAACTTTTTATTTTGAGATTATTGTAGATTCACATATAGTTACAAGAAATAATTCAGAGAGATGCTATGTATTCCTACTAATTTTCCCCTAATAGTAACATCTTTCAAAACTATATGATATGGTTTGGCTGTGTTCTCACCCAAATCTCATCTTGAATCGTAGCTTCTACAATTCTCATGTGTTGTTGGAGGGACCTGGTGGGAGGTAATTGAATCATGGGGGTGGGTCTTTCCTGTGCTGCTCTCATGATCGTGAATAAGTCTCACAAGATCTGATGGTTTTATAAAGGTTTTATAAAGCACAAATTCTCTCTTGCCTGCCGCCATGTAAGACATGCCTTTTGCCTTCCACCATGATTGTGAGGCCTCCCCAGCCACATGGAACTGTGAGTCCATTAAACCTCTTTTTCCTTATAAATTGCCCAGTCAGGTATGTCTTTCTCAGCAGCATGAAAATGGACTAATACACTATAGTACAACATCACAACCGGGATGCTGACATTGATACTGTCAAGATGTACATTTGCATCATGAAGAAGACCCCTTACCTTGCCTTTTATTATCCTACCCACTTGCCTCCTGCTCCTGCCTGCTCCTTAAGCCATGGCAGTCAGCAATCTGTTCTCCATTTCTATAATTTTGTCATTTTTAGAGTCTTTTATAAATGCAATCACATGATGTGTAACCTTTCAAGAAACAATTCTCTGGAGATTCTTCTAGGTTGTAGTGTGTATCAGTAGTTATTATTTATTGCTGTGTAGTATTCCATGGTACGGATGTGCCATAGTTGGTTTAACCATTTATCCATTGACAAACATCTGAGTGGTTTCTGGGTTGGGGCTATGATGAATTAAGCTGCTATCAACATTCCTGTACAGTTTTTTGTGTGAACATAGTTGTCATGTCTCTGGAGTGCAGTTGCTGAGTCACAGGGTATTTGCATGTTTAGTTTTTTAAAGAAACAGTTTAGTTTTGCAGACTGGCTGTACCATTTTGCATTTCCACAGCAATGTATGAGTAATCAAGTTTCTTTGAATCCTTACCAGTATTTGAATTTGTCACTGCGTTTTACTTTAACTTTTCTGATAGGGTCTGTAATGGTAGTTCTTTGTGGTTTTAATTTGCACTTTGCTACTTGCTAATGATGTTGAAAATATTTTCAGGTGCTTATTTGACTTCCGCGTATCCTCTTTCATTAAATATCTCCTGTCTTTTGCCCACTTTATAATTAGATTTTGTTTTTTTGTATTTTTCCTGTTATGTTTTGAGAATTCTTTATACATTCTGAATACATGTTTTTTATATGTATTTGAGTAGTATTTAAAGAGCTTTTTTAGCAATTGACAGTGATATTGTATTTTTAATTTTAATTTCCATGTGTTCATTGTTGGTATATACAAGTGCAACTGATTTTTATATATTTATCTTGTATCCTGCAACTTTGCTGAACTCACTAATTCTAGGAGTTTTCCATAGCATTTTGTATGTAGGCAGTCATATCACTGACAAATAGAACACTTTTCTTTCATTCTGATTTGCATGACTTTATTTACTTTACTTAATGAACTGGCTAGAACTTTGAGCACTATGTTGAATAAGAGTGGTGAGAGCAGACATTTTTGCATTGTCCTTGATATTGGAGTGAAAGCATTCAGACTTTCATGATGAAATACAATGTTTGCTGTAGGTTTTCTTTAATGCTTTTTAGCAAGCAAAGAAGTTGCCCCCTATTCCTGTTTCTTTTTCAAGAATTTCTATCATAAGTGATGGGCAAATGCTTTTTCTGTATCAACTGGTGTTATCACCTGATTTTTCTTTTTTATTCTGCTAATATGGTGGATTACATTAATTGATTTTCCAATGTTGAACCAGGTTGGCATCCTTGAAATAAACCCTATTTAGTCTTGATATATAATTCTTCATATATATTACTGAATTCTATTTGTCGTGTTTTATTAAGGATTTTCGTGTCTGTTTTCCTGAGGGATATTGATTTGCAGTTTTTTTCTGTCAATATGTTTGTTTGGTTTTGATATCATGGTAATATTAGCTTCATAAAAAGTATTGGAGGGTGTTTTCTCCTGTTCTGCTTTTTGGAAGAGATTGTGTAGAATTGGTGTTAGTTCTGTATTAGATATTTAGTCTTGGTATTAGGGTCCCAAATTCTCCAATGAAACCCTCTGGGCCTGGATATTTAAGAGTTTTTAAATTATGAATTTATTTTCTGAATTGTTACAGAGCTATTCAAACCATTCATTTCATATTGAGTGAATTGTGGTAGCTTTGTGTTTTTTGAGGAAGTGATTCATTTCATCATATGTGTCAAATATATGTGTATATGAATATTCATAATACATTATTTCCTTATTGTACTTTTGATATCTGCATGGTCTGTAATAACATACCCCATTTTATTCCTGATAATGGCAATTTGCATATTCTTTTTTTCTTTGTCAGTCTTGCTAGATGCTTGTCAGTTTTATTGATTTTTAAAAAATAGCCTTAGTTTTTCTATTTCCAATTTTAATGATTTCTGCTCTTTATGATTTCTTTCCTTTTGCTTGCTTTGATTTTATTTTGCTCTGCTATTTTGAAGTTCTTGAGATGAGAAGTTACATTATTGATTTGAGACATTTCTTCCTTTCTGATGCATTTAGTGCTTTCAGTTTCCTTCAAAATTGGATTATCTGTATCCCCCAAAATTTTATTACATTATGTATTCCTTATCATTCAGTTTAATATTTTCTATTTCCCTTGAGACTTGCATTTTAACCCACAGATTATGTAGAAGTGGGCTGTTTAGTTTCAATAGGTTAGAATATTTCCCTATCATTCTGAATTGATTTTAGTTTGATTGCATTGTGATTAGAGAACACATGACGCATGATTTCTGTTTTTTACATTTGTTAAAATTTGTTTTATCCATAGGATATTAACCATCTTGGTATGTGTTTTATGGGCACTTGACAATAATTCATATTCTGCTATTGCTGAGTGGGATATTCTATAAATATTTGTTAGATCCTGTTCTTTGACGGGTGGTGTTGAGTTCTTGTGTATCCTTGCTAATTTTCTATCTAGTTATTCTATCAGTTGCGGAAAGCAGAATGTTAAAGTCTATAACTCTAATTGCGAATTTTTCTACTATTTTTCAGTTCTAATTTTTGCTTCACATATTTTGCAACCCTGTGCTTGATGTATACACACTTAGGATTGTTATATCTTCTTGGTAGATTGACCTTTTGTCATTATGTAACCTCCATCTCTGTCTCTGATGTATTTCTTTGCTTGGAAATCAGATATTAATATAGCCACTCCTACTTTCGCTTGATTAATGTTTGTATGATATATCTTTTTCCATTATTTTACTTTCAAGCTGCTTATACCATTATGTTTTAAGTGATTTTATTATGGATAGTATATCATTGGAACATACTTTTAAATTCACTCTGCCAATCTCTGTTTGTTACTGGTATATTTAGATCATTTACATTTAATTTAATTTACTTTTAATGTAATTACTAATTTGTTATGGCTTAAGTCTAGCATTTCATTTTTTATTGTATGTTTATACTCTGTTTTGCATTTCTGTTTTCTTTTTCTTTTCTTCTTGTGGATTACTTGAACAATTGTTAGATTTCCCTTTTGGTTTATCTATAGCATTTTCAAGTGTATCTCTGTGCATAGCATTTATAGTAGTCACTCTAAGTATTACATGATATATTAAAAGCTTATCACGATCTGCTGATATCATCATTTTACCAGTTTAAGTGAAGTATAGAAACCTTATCTTCCTCTATGTCCTCTTACAACACCCCTGTTTATAATGTAATTGTCTTAAATATTTTTCACTATATACATTTAGATACACATAATTTTTGCTTCAACTGCCCAACATAATTTTTAAAACTTAAGGAAATCCAGTTGTATTAACTACATTATTGCTTACTTGTAGTTGTTCCTTCCTGATGTCCTGATGCTTATTCTTTCATGGTTTTTTTCCACTTAGAAAACTTCCTTTAGCCATTCTTTTAGGGTAAGTCTGCATGTGACAAATTCTCTTAGTTTCCCTTAAAACTGTTCTCATTTTCCCCTTCATTCTTGAAGAATATTTTCACTGGATATAGGATTCTTGTTGACAGTTGTTTTCAGTATCTGAAAAATATTTTGTCACTTCCTTCTGGCTTCTGTAGTTGCTGATGAGAAATCGATAGTCATTCTTATTGTTTTTGCTATAGGTAAGGCATCATTTTTACTCTGGCTGCTTTCAAGATGTTTATCTTTCATTTTCAGAAGCTTGATTATGTGCCTTGGCAGAAATTTATTTGGATATATCCTGTAGGTTTATGTCTCTTAATAGATTTGGGGTATTTTCCAGCATTAT
The DNA here is from genome assembly GCF_000001405.40 of Homo sapiens. Lineage (NCBI taxonomy): Eukaryota > Metazoa > Chordata > Mammalia > Primates > Hominidae > Homo > Homo sapiens. The sequence continues at coordinate 10,504,600 of NC_000010.11, forward strand.
TTCTTTGAGTACTTTTTTACCACTACCCACCTCCTTCTTTCCATCTGAAATTCAAATGACATGAGAGTTAGATATTTTTGTTATAGCCCTATATGTCCCTGATACATTTCTGAGTCCATGTTTTTTTTTCTTTTTTCAGTGTATTTCTCTCTATTCAGAATATGTCATTCTATATTTCAGTTCACTGATTTTTCTTCTGATCCCTTCATTCTGCTGTTGAATGCATCCACTGAGCTTTTTATTTTGGTTATCATATTTCTCATTTCTGAAATTACCATTTGCTTCTTCTCTATAACTTCTCTTTCCTTGCTGAAGCTTTCTTTTTTTTCCATTTGCTTCAAGTATGTTTGTAATTGCTTGTTGAAGTATTTTTATCATGGCTGCTTTTAAAACCTTTGTCAGATAAATCAAACATGTCTGTCATCAAGGTGTTGGCATCTATTGATTTTTTCCATTCATTTTGAGATCTATCTTCCTGGTTCTTTTTATGATGACTGGTTTTTTAAATTAAAACCTAGACATTTTTGTCTTAATATGAGACTATTAAATTAATTAATCACAACTTTGGTTTCACTGGCTTTCTCTGACATGCCTATGTCAAGGAAACAGGAGATTTCCTAATGGAGGGTACTGCCTCATTAATGCCAGGTAGAGATAGAGGTCCATGTTAACCACTTAACCTTCTTTAACACATAAGTTGGGGGAGGGCTCCTTTTTTACTACAGGGTTGGGATATGCTTTCTGCATCCTCAGGTAACCTCCACTGACACCATGGTGAGGGTGACTTTATTACCACTGGATGAAAGTTCTGACTCTCCACCAGGCTGCTTCTGATCCCAGCTCAGCAGAGATGAGAAAAGACACCTTATTACTGCAAGTACACTTGGAAGTTCAGGCTCCCCTACATAGAGACCACTAACACCAAGGAGAAGAGGCAAAGGGAAAGGGGGACCTCATTACTGGTCAGTGGGGATTAACGTTCTAGCTCTCTACTTGGCCTTCTTTGACACCACCCCCCTGGGGCCCTGGAATACCTTGTTACAGCTTGGTGAGGGTAAAATTCTAGGTTCCCCACTCAGCCTCTGCTACTATGAGTATGACTGAAGTCATGAACTCATCTGAAGTACAGCAGATATTAACTGTTAAAACACTACCTAGCAGATAGTTTTATGTCTTGCTAGGCTGCTGCTTTTCTGATCATTTGGGTAGGGTAAAGAGAATAAACTTTTGTTGGGCTTTTTAAAATGTGCCTATTGCTATTTCTGAATTGGCAACGACTTCAGCTCTATATCTGGGAACTCATCACCATGTTATCTTCAGATCTCAAGTTCCCTAGATGGTCTACCACCTTCTTTCCACCTTTCAAAGTCTTGTGTTTGGTTTATACATAATGTCCAGAGATTTGAGTTGTATATAGACAAAGGAATAAGGAAAAGTGTGTCTACTCCATTTGCCCAGAAGCAGAAGTCGGTATTCTCTCATTTTTTTTTTTAAAGTTTTACTTATCCTTAAATTCTTATCCCTCTTGCAACAGCAAAATGAAGAAAAAAAATTTCCTCACATTTTCCTGTTTCCTACTGAAAGTAAAAAAGATCATTGGAGCTTCTCTCTTGAGTCTCATGCTTTTTTTTGTTTCCACCAGCTCTCATCAAATTCTTAAGATGCACTTCGTGTGTGTGTGTGTGTGTGTGTGTGTGTGTGTATCTGTGTCTGTGTCTATATAGGTATGTGCCGATAAATTATTCCAACTCATTCTGAATTTCTGTCACCAACTGGTTCTGGAATGAGTGAGGGTCCTAAAAAGGCTAATATTTAATGATCTTCAAATATTATCAAAGTGACCACCAGAAAGATTGATGTAAATCAAACTTCACTGTCAAGAGACAACCATCATATCCACCTGCCCCACTCCACCCATTCCCTACCCCAATCTGTTTTCCCTTAAGAAAGAGCAGAGGCTCTAGAACTTGTAGGAATATAAACTTGAAAAGCAGGAGTTATAATCCTGGACTCTGGAAGAATGCCTAAACAATGCAGCTACTATCTACCACAGTTGTCCACCTCCTGTGAATTTTTTTTTTTTTTTTTTTTTTTTTTTTGAGATGGAGTCTCTGTTGTCCAGGCTGGAGTGCAGAGGTGCAATCTTGGCTCACTGCAACCTCTACTTCCTGGATTCTGCCTAAGCCTCCCGAGTAGCTGGGATTACAGGCACGTACCACCACGCCTGGCTAATTTTTGTATTTTCAGTAAAGACGGGGATTCCCCATGTTGGCCAGGCTGATCTCAAACTCCTGACCTAAAGTGATCCACCTGCCTCAGCCTCCCAAAGTGCTGAGATTACGGGCATGAGCCACTGCGCCTGGCTACCTCCTGTGCATATTAAAGCCACGTTCCACAGCGGAGATCCAGGCAAAGGATGTGCTTTGTAGACCACATGATGGAGATTTGGGGTGTTTAGTTCTCAGTTCATAGGAAAGGCCGGAAACCAGTTCACTTCGTCATTTCAGCGATCGCTGTCCTAGGTTTCAGGCACTTCAATGTAACGTTGACATGAGCCCTTCCTTTTCTTTCTTTTTCTTTTTTAATAAACAGCCAGTTTTACTGAAAAACTGGCTGTTGTTACTTCCTGATTCTATGGAACTCTAAGTCAAAATCATAAAAGATAGCATCTAAGCATATTTCATACTAACATCCGGAAATACTCACACCTAAATTTTGAGAAACAAAATGTCCCCCAGCTTTTTGCTGATACTTCCACCAATGTCACAGGATTATTTGTTTTAGATTTTTTTTCTTTCCAAGCAGGCCTGGAGGTAAATGAGCTGCTTGGAAAAGATTGTTCTCAGAGTCTCAACAGGTCAGGTACAAATGCAAAAAATCTACAAAATACTAAGGATTGGGGCTGGGAGTTGGAAGTTCTCATAACTGCATAGTCCAGAGGATATAGTAGGGATTAGCATGATCCCACTAGCTACCTAGAAGGTAGAAAGGGGAGACACAAAATTTCCAAATAAGCACATCCTCAAACATGCATGGAAAAATTATGGTCAACTGAGAGACCAGGATGGAAAGGAGAGGAATTTGTGGGAAGATGGAGGGTGTGCTATATGGATGTGAAGTTCTTCTGAATGTTTTTGAATTCAATTTTCCTCCATCCAAATGAAAGCTGACTTTATAAAATAGCACTTTTGGGAGGAAGGTAGAAGGAGGAATCATGCTTAAAAAAATTAGCACATTCTAAGTGATCAGATGTGATCTTTAATATTGAAAGCCCTCAAATTTAGTCATTGGAAAGAGTCAAGCCCGGTTCCAGGGCTAGCATCTAATTAGTTTACAACTTCCTGAATCAATACCAAACAAATGATGAAATAAAGTAGATAAACTAGCTTTCTATAGCATTTACCTTTATTTTCTGTGTGCTACATAAGGTACCAGAGGAAAGAGCCTTTGCAAAAAATAAAAACAAAAATGAATAAGCCCAGAACAACTTGGGGATACTATCTTCGTCTTGGACTGGTTTATACTGGAACTCCTGGGAGGTGTCTGTGCTGTCTCTCACAGACAAATACAAAAAAAAAAAAAATATTCATGCTCCTTGCAATAGGCAGTCAAATTGTGCATCCTACCTCAAACAGATAAGCCTTCACGGTAGTACCATGCTGTCTTGCATGTAAAAGGAAAACCACTGACCCCACTGAGTGACTCGCAATACTACTTGAACATGGAAATGCCAGATGGATTGAAAGTGACAGACCTAATAAGCAGCTTCCAGAATCTGCATGAATCTAATTGCAGAAAATCCTTAGTGCAGCTGCTTCTATTTGCTTCCTCAAATCCTTAAGCCAAACAACCTACATCAGAGAGCCTCGGCATGCTCTTGAATGGCCCAAGCCATCTGAAATGTCCTGTGGGATTTATCTAAGCCCTGGCTCCAATTAGGAATTATTCAGGGACTTTTCCCAATAGTCCACAGGGAGAAATGTCAGTTAGGCATACTGGTTGTGTGTATGTCTTATTGATCAGATTTTCAATACTTCCCTCACCCAGATTTCTTAAACAGATGTGTGTGTGTGTGTGTGTGTGTGTGTGTGTGTGTGTGTGTGTGTATATTTTTTTTTTTGAGATGGAGTCTCGCTCTGTCACCCAGGCTGGAATGCAATGGCGTGATCTCGGCTCACTGCAACCTCCGCCTCCGCCTTTCAAGTAGCTGGGATTACAGGCACCCGCCACCATGCCCAGCTAATTTTTGTATTTTTAGTAGAGACAGGGTTTCACTATCTTAGCCAGGTTGGTCTTGAACTCCTGACCTCGTGATCCACTCGCCTCGGCCTCCCAAAGTGCTGGGATTACAGGTGTGAGCCACTGCGCCCGGCCCAGATATATATTTTCAATTAATGCAATAATAATGATCAAACATCTTGAATCCCAAAGTGGCTATATGGTTGGGTAAAGCTAAAACATACTTTTATTGAGAAATGTGTAATTCCTAAGAATCTGATGCAATCTAGGATTGGAGGTTCTGTTTAACTTTATTTCCCATTGTTTTGCTTGCATGCTGAATTTTCCTTCAGGTACTGGAAGGATCATAATGTGGATGTAAAGAGTTGGAAAGGACTGGATATTACTCTGTTGTCCTTGAGTAAACTGTCCTAGCTCTATTATGCCTGCTTGTGATGTTGATAGAGACTGAATTTTTGTGTTTCCCCACAATATTTATGTGAAAATCCTCACTCCCAATGTAACAATATTAGGAAGTGGGAACTTTAGGAGGTGACAGGGTCATAAAGGTGGGGCCCTTATGAATGGGATTAGTGCCCCAATTCCCAGACAGTCCATTTGCCCTTTCCACCAAATGAGACTACAGTGAGAACAGAGGAATCTGACCTCATCAGGCACCAAATCTGCCAGCTTCTGAATCTTAAAATTCCCAGCCTTCAGAACTATGAGATTTAATTTTTTTATTGTCTGTAAGCCACCTAGTCTATAGTATTTTTGTAATATCAGCCAGAATGGACCAAGACATCATTCTACAGAATAAATCCCAGCCTGCCCCAGGAAGAAAACCTTTGACTCTAGAAAATAATCTGTGTCTCTGCTGCCATCTCTTGTCAAAGAGGCCCTTTGAGATTAGCCACACATACTGCAAACTCACTGCTTCAGCTTTGGTGCAGTTGTGGAAAACTGAAAAAGGGACCACTGTAGTCGCTTTGCAGAAAAGCCCCTACAGTACATTGAGGGTGAATTCCTAGAGGACTCAAAGGATTAGGTGTTTTCATTTTCCCCATCAACAAGCACAACCATGAGTCAGAGATGGAGGGGCCACCAGTGACCCTACATTGACCTTGCCAATGAACTTGAATTGTGCTCTTTCTACAACCAAGGCCCAGCACCTGCAAAGGCATTTCTCCATGGCTGGGAGGGATTCTGGCTTCTGAACCTATCTGTTCTTGCCTGTGCGTTGCATTGCTAGCCCTGCTCCTTTTTCCTTGGAAACAAATTATACTTATCCAACCCATAATTGCCTTTAATATTAATTTATTAGATCTTTCTTGGTTAAGGCTTCATTTTAGTGATGATCCCTCTGGATGGACATTTTATCATTAGATTCACCTCCTATTCACAAACCTGTAAGTGCCATTATCCTGAATGAAAATTAGATATTTTCACTAATGAAAAGTCATCTCCGTAATACTTGATTCAGAATGTGAGTGGCTTTTAGCCCTCTGTGCAACTAGCTTCCTAGTAATAGGAGCATTTTGCAATACTTCTTTTAGGTTGTGTTGTTTGTGTGGTCCTGCCTAGTAAGCCAAAAACTGAACAGCGGGGGAATGAGAGGAGAGATGGCATAAAATAGCAATATCTTCTTTGCGTTTATCTTCATCTTGCCAAAAGTTTAATATCACCCCAAGTAATATTTCATCAATGTAGTGGTTTTCTCATTCACTCATTCATTCATTCATCAAATACTTATTGGCACTGACAGTGTGCTTCAGGCTATGTTCTTGTCACTGGGGTGCTGGCAGTAAACAAAATGTGTAATGCCCCTGTCCTCTTGGAGCTTACATTCTAATAGCTGTAGTGAAAACCAGCACATAGATAATTTAGTATCAGATAATGATAAGTGTCAGGAAGAAAATAACTCAGGGAAGAAGAGTGCTGGGCAGTTGATGGACTCTTCTGGATGACATCCACGAAGGTGATCTCTGAGCAGAAATCTAAATTTAAACTGGAATAAGCCTTGCAAAGATCTGGGGTAAGAGCCTTCTAGATAGGGGGCATAGCAAATGCAAAAGGCTTGAAGGGAGAAGGAGCAAGGGATGTTCCCAGAATACAAAGGCCAGAGGCACTAAAGGGAAAAGGATAAAGGAGTAAGGTGAAAGGGAACTCAGAGAGGTGGCATCAGCAGGCTCTGTGGGCCCCATAGGCCTGCCTGGAGCTTGGATTCAGTTCTGCATGAGATGGAGTGAGTGTCAGGGTTTTGAGCTAGAGAGTTATATGATCTCTTTTACTTTAAAATATATGTATACAGGCTGGGCACGGTGGCTCACGCCTGTAATCTCAGCACTTTGGGAGGCCAAGGTGGACAGATCACCTGAGGTCAGGAGTTCAAGACCAGCCTGGCAAAAATGGCAAAACTCCATCTCTACTGGAAAATACAAAAATTAGCTGGGCATGGTGGTGGTCACCTGTAATCCCAGCCACTGGAGAGACTGAGGCAGGGAGAATTGCTTGAACCTGGCAGGTGGAGGTTGCAGTGAGCTGAGATCATGCCACTGCATTCCAGCCTGGGTGACAGAGTTAAGACTCCATCTCAAAACTAAATAAATAAATAAAATATATGTATACATATATTTTTAATGTGTATATATATTTATATATGGGTGTGTTTGGATTATATTGACTGCTGTTTGGTGAATAAAGTGTAAAGGAAAAAAGCAAAAGTAAGACCAGATAATGATAGTTAAGTAAATAAACTCAGCAGAGACCCTGGGAGCTTTTGTCTTGAAGGCAGTATGTGTAGTGGATATCAGTATAGCTTCACAGCTGCCCACAGTTTAAATGTCACTTCTACTATGAGATCTCGGGTAATTTCTTTCAATCTATCTGCATCTCAGTTTCCTCAACTATAAAATGTAAATAATAATATTACCTACTTCAAGGGTTGTTGTAAGAATCAGATGAATAAATACAAATAGCCACTTCAAACCGCCAGCAGCCCAGTAAGAACCATATCAAGGCCTGCTACTCTTGTTTTCTTTATTGAGGCTACAAATTTGCACTCATAGTCCCCCTTTTCAAATTGATTAAAATATTTTGAAATGCAAACATGATATCTGTTTCTTCTTCGTAAAGAGCCAACACAAGATTGCAAATGTCAGACCTTCAACTGATATCTGTTGAACTGAATTATTGTAACCCTGGAACACAGGGATGTCAAAATCAGTATATTCCAGAAGGACTATGAGGATCTGGCAAAGTATCCTTATTTTTCTCTCTGGGTATTTAATTTTTTATCAACTAATCAGCTCCTTGCTCGAGGGTATAAATGAAACAAGCAAGTAAAGAGCTTGATGTGGATGAAATAGCATGCCTCCTCCTCACTCTGAAGCCTAGAGTGGGAACTCAGTCAATATCTGTGCTGCTGATGGCAACATCTGTTGTGACAGGATTTGGAAGGCATGGCACCACATGTCAACAGTACCATACCATCACAATAGAAAAGAATGAATTCTCTACTGCTGATGCACATTAAACACAAGACCTTCCTTCTGAGAAGCCCAGTCTAGGTACTTTTGGAACGCTTTTTTTTTTTTTTTTTTTTTTTGAGACAGAGTCTTGCTCTGTTGCCTAGGCTGGAGTGCAGTGGCGTGATCTCTGCTCACTGCAACCTCCGCCTCCCAGGTCAAGTGATTCTCCTGCCCTCAGCCTCCTGCCTCAGCCTCCTGAGATTACAGGCATGCGCCACCAGGCCCGGCTAACTTTTTTTGTATTTTTAGTAGGGGTAGGGTTTCACCGTGTTGGCCAGGCTGGTCTCTAACTCCTGAACTCAAATGATCTGCCCACCTCAGCTTCCCAAAGTGCTGGGATTATAGGCGTAAGCCACCGCTCCTGGTCTAGAACTCTTAACAGGATCAATTAAAGACATTTTTATTTCTGCTGTTTGGTCAGTTCCTCCCCTCCTGTTAAGCCACAGTTGTCTCTTTAGTTCCTCTACTGAATTTCGTTTGGCATCAGAAGATTTAAAGATTAGCTATTAGTCCTAGTGGGTGGTCAAATCAATACCCTGGCCACCATCCCAGGCTTAAAAGAAATGCTCTTGGGATGATTTTAGCCCACTGCTTTATAAGAAGCTGCCTATCCCCAAAAGTCAAGGCCCCACAGTTCACTGATACATTCAATACCATGAAAACGGTGCCATGGTGGTGGTTTTCTGGTGATGCACAAGGCTGTTCGGATCACCCACTCCTTCACTGAATGTTCTTGGTTATGCACAATGATAATAATCAGTGTCATTAAAGGATTCAACTTAAGCATTAATAATGGACCAACTTCTGTGTACCTTAGTAGTTTACAGGACACTGGAGATTTTTGCCCCTTTTTTGTTGTTTTTTTTATTGTTATGAACATGCTGTGACATACTGAAGAAGTCGTATCACTCTATCAAATCTAGTAATCAAAGGGTGGCAGCTGTCACAACCACATCATCTTCCCATCTAGTCCTGCTAGACCTGATTTACTGAAAGAGCAGTACTTCTTGTATCCTGATATGATCAGCTTACTAGGATCAGAAGATTTCCTTCTTTGATTTTCTATTTTAAGGCTTTTTAAAAAGGAAAATGAAGGCTATGAATCCATGACAGTAACTACTTCTGTCCAGTTAAATATAATCCTCCTCCTTCATCCAATATAAACTGGGGAAGAGAAAAAATGACATAAACACCAAAAATAAGAGTAGCAAGGAAACCTCATTTTATCCCAGGGCTTCAAGATTTTTTTTTTAGCAGGGTTGCCCACATATAGCAGAAAGTTCAAATTACAGTAAAATATCCAAGATGATAAAATAATCCAAAAGGTGTATCTTAAATCTCTAAATTATACAGCGTTGACTTTTTTAAAAGACTTTTAACTTTTAAAGATATAAACTCGCAGATTTCACTTACAGACCATGCCACATTCTGCATTAGACCCATAGAAGGGACAAAAGCAATATATGTTAGCAAAGCCTGGTTCCCTCTCTATGCAAAGTATAGATCCCTCTCTAAGCAAAGCCTAGGTTTCTCCCTAAGCAAAGCCTAGGTCCCTGTCTAAGCAAAACCTAGATCTCTCTCTAAGCTAAGCCTCGATCCCTCTCTGAGCAAAGCCTAGATCCCTCTCTGAGCAAAGCCTAGACCCTTCCTCTTGCCAGCAATGGAAGAGAGCCTTCCACTTGCTCTCACTTACTCAACACCCTGGAGCCGTCCACTCTGGGTAGATTGCTGACAGGTTTATTCATATTCTTTGCTAAGCACACAGAACTCCTGGGAGCTTTCCAAGATGTTATTCCCAGACCCTCAGGAAATATATGCAAATATGAAGTTCTTGATTTCAAACACTGTAGAATGAGAGATGGTATAACTCAGTTTGGAATATTATAAGTATAGAAGTTTGCAGAGACAATTGGCTATAGAAAGTAGCTCGTTATACTAACTGATCGATTCATGGAATTTTTTTTTTAAATCAGTTGGCCAAGTATGTAACTGACCTACTGGTGAATCCACTTAGTCAAATACTCCTTTTAATAGTTATTGGGGAACATCTGTGGACTCAGCATAATTGAGGTGAGGTAGAGAATAAAGAAAAATGAAAGCGTGGTCCCTGATCACCAGGAACTTACTTGAAGGATGTTAACACAAGAAACAGCAAGCGCAAAGCAGCATGTCATCAAGTGCTGGAAGCTTCCTGGCACTTCCTGAGGGAGGGCTTTGAGCCCTGGCCGAGAGCAGGAGCCTACAGGATAAGCCTGGGAGAGAATGGGATTCAGACGTGGATTCAGACGTGGCAAGAAGAACGATTTGGTTATAATGGCTGATGAGGTTGGAAATAGTCGGTGGTGGATGGGGGTGTGTCTTAAATCTCTAGAGATTTAAGACATTTAAGGCATTGACAACAGAGGTGCTTTTAGGGGCCTCCTCTGAAGAAAATGAATAGCCAGAGATTGTTTAATCCATGGGTTAAACAGAGAATGAACAAATCAAGAGCGTGAGTGTTAATTCCTAAAACCTCTATTGTGTCATGTGGCATGATTCAAATTATTGCTCCCAGATCAATCTTACCGTTCATCTTCTCATCAGTAAAATTGGAATAACCTCTGGAAGCCTTGCAAAGCACAGCTAATTAACATTTATGACAAGTAAGGAGTTATATAACAGGTTATGTAAATGCATCATAGCAGCAAGGACTGAAATGTTTTGCCTGTGGCATTTGGATTTGAAAGGAGATCTCCAAATACAAGAACAAAGCTCCACCAAGTAGGCTGAGAGCTACTAGGGACAGAGGGTCCTGAGCAGGTGACACACCCTCAGAGCTAACTGTGGGAACACCGGACTCTACAATGGCACCTGATCGCCTTTTATAAACTTTGTGCCAAGCTCTCACAATCAATTCTGTATGTGTAATGAAGCCAGAAGACACTAGCTGTGTAAACTCATGAAATCACACAATTCAATTATGTGCTAAAACTAATCATGTTCATACATCTTCCCAAATCCACCATTGGAGTCATATCACATATCTTAATCATGTTGACTAAAGCTCATTCATTGGAGCTGAAATCTCTTCTATTACTATATAGTTTTCAAGCACTGGTATATAGTAGTTGAATATTTATATTTAATAATAAGGAAAAACAAACAAGATTCAGTCTGGTAAAAGACCGAGTGATCCTGAGAGAGCAAAAAGGATCATTTGAACTCAAAAGAATCCTTTTTAGCTCAGTGTCCCACTGTGACTCACTGATACTCTGTTATTATCCCCGTTAACGCCACTTGAAACAAAGAAGGAAAAAAATGTAGCCCAGAGGGAATTCATGACTCAAGGTCACAGTGCAAGACAAGCCAAGTTGGAAAGATCAGGAGTCAGAAATAAGAGATTGCCTCCTGTATCGCCATTTAGTAGGCATGCGAATTTGGGTCAGTCACTAAACCAGTTTCCTTCTCTGAAAAGTAGAGATGCCATATTTTATGGATCCTAAGATGCACATTATTTTTCGCATTGAACATCTCCGAAACAGGGAAACATCTTAATGATGGATGATGTCACTTAATTGGCAACGTTTTTCTTGCTTAGTCATAAATGAAATAATGGTGCGTTTAAAATCCACCAATCTTAGATTTGATAAGAGACGGTAGTAATAACCAGCTCGGGTGAGACTATGTCAGTGTACTACAACCATGGAAAGCAGATACTGGACTGAGGAAATGATTCCAAGCAAAGAAACTCATTTGGTGACTGGCGTTTGCTAGGCTGAGAAAAAGTTAACTTGTTGAAAAAACAAACAAACAAAAGAAAAAACCCTAGTCCTAACTTTTGGACTGCGTGACTATTTCTGACAATCTTAAAATACCAGACTAGGGGTAGGCAATAGGCATCTCTTGGTCAGTGCAAACAAAACAACCAGAAGATTCATGGGATGTATCTGAGAAGTCTATTATTTAAATCTGAATTCCATATTAGCTTGTCATCTTGATATTTTTGACAAGTGCATGTAAGGATTTTTGACACTGAGGAAGTTTCCAATATACTTTTACTATATAAAAAATGTAAAATACATAACTATGTTGCTAAATTGCTACTGTTTATTTTAAGAAATAAAACATTCATCATCTTAAAATTCTGCACTTCTGTACACTGATTGCTATGTGGTAAGGGTGAGGGTAGCAGCAAATTACAGTCAATTCGGCAGCACAGATAAACTGCAGCTGTTTTTAGTTCTGTTTCTGCAACATCCATAGTGGAATTCAGAATTTACTGAGAGCTGGTTTTTCTCATTTTACTGGCAAAAGAATTGCTGGCTTAATTACCCTCGGGGGTCCTGTGTAAATTATGTCCATAGATCTGGAGAGAGAAGATGGCAGAAAATAAATACTCAGCATCATTAAAAAAAAAAAAAGCAAAAATCACCTTGGCTGAGTTTGAGTTCTCTCCCCACCCCTTGCCACCCGGGCAACTCTGGAAGGGGGAGACAAGTCCCTTTCAGTTCTTCTGGAAACTTACTCTTCTCAGACAATCCCTCTCAGCCTGCTGTCTTCATTCCCCATGGACAAACCAGCCTGGCCTTAGAGGGCGGCACCCACCTCTTTTTTCTCCTTCCGCAGCACAGCATGTCCCCTCTTTGAGAGAACCGTAGGATCCCACGCATCACCTTCACTCATTACTGGATGTTGCAGCTACTAGAAGAGCTGTGTGGAAACAGCAGTGCATGAATTTATTGAATTTTTCCCGTGAAAGAAGGACCAGCAACATAATATCTAATATTTATTATTATTACTTTACTCTATGCAATTTATCTCATTTAGGCCCCTTACAATTACTGGAATCATAGACAGGCATGATTAGGGTTATTCTGCATTCAATCGCTATAGCTTGAGGGGGACTCAACTTCAACGGGAGGCTTCCCAGGCTGAGGGGGAACTGGCCTGAAGTGGTAGGAGGTGGCCTCAGTTTCCAGCCAAACCCAGGCAGTCTGATCCTGGAGCCCACACTTTTAATCAGCTTCCTCATGTTCCCCTTCCTGGTATAAGAATTCTGATTACAAGGGAGGAAAGGAAAACACAGAAAGGAAAACAGGGAGGTTGTCAACCCTTCACCACCCTGACCCTGGTCAGCTCCATTCATAACAAATAACAAATAACATCATCACAAATAGGATGTTTTGACATGTGCCTGTCTCCTGGAGTTCAGGCCAATACTCAGGGCCCATATTCTACATCTGAAGCCTGGATCCCTTAGTGAAACGCACTGGAGACATCTGCCCAGGCTGATGTCAGGTCTTAGGAGGCAATTTTCCCTGCAGCATGGGAAGGGTAGGCAGAGGCGATTTTCCCTGCAACATGGGAAGGATAGTCAGAGACAGTAGCGATCAAGGTGTAGCCTCACTAGGTGCCCAGATGCTGCCATAATTCTCAACAGGAGCTCTGAAGCTTGTCCAAAAGCAATCCCACTATGGCAATTATGTGGGAGAGGTTTGCTCTTTGCAAAGAGCTAGCGATCCTGCTGAGGAATTATGTGGTTAATGTGCTAGAAAATTCTTTATAAAATGGCACTTCCTTTTCCGGCTTTCCAGCCTCCCACACCTGGGGCTTGCCAGTTTCTTATATAAATACAATGGCCTCCCTGGCACTGCTGGATTTCATTTCCATTGAAAAGGTGACAAACCACGTTACAACCACCCACCATCTCCTTGAAACCCACCCAGCTGTCTGAACGTCTCATTCAGGCTTAGCATTTCCTGCATGGTGCTAAGTTACCAGACGACTTCTCAACAATAACACCCAGCCCAGCTTCTACCATCAACCCATTCTGAATTCTGGAATTCTGAATTCCACTGTGGATGTTGGCTCTTGCTGTAGCATCTTAATCTTTGTTTATTTCCCTAATGTAATTGAAGCTCTTCTGAGTTCAACTCTCCTAAGCCCTGCACTCTACCTGAAAATGGACTTGAGACAAATACTGAGCTTTCTTCAGCCCAAGCTCCACACAGTTGTGTGTCTGCATTTTGTGTGGGACGCTGAAATGGTGATAAAGGAAATAGACAGTAGATGGCAGGAGATTGTATTTCACCTTCCTGGTTTGCTACTGTGTGACCTTTAATAAGCTGCTTAACCTGTCTGAGTTCTGGGTTCCTCATGGAGAGTGAAATGGGATCTTTAGTATTATGATTCTATAATCTCAAACATGGCAAGAGTAGGAATTCTCTCTTATCATCTTAGCTGCAAAGTATTAACCAAGATGCAGTAAAATTCTTAATGAAATACTAAGTGCTGATGTACCAAATCTAAAAGAAGCTAATGTTCTCAGCTAATAGTGGCACCAATTTTTTAATGGTGGACATCAGAGTAGATATAACATACCACAAAATGATTTTTTTTTAAAAAAAAATGGCTTCATAGTCAAAGAAATATGAAGGGGCCACTTGTAAGGATGTCCTATTGGTGACCCAGCTTCCAAAAGTGCAGAGGAGGACAAGTTGGCTGAGAGGCCACCATCTAAGAAAATCAATTTATTCATGTAATTGGGACAGCACATTGCTGGGAGCTGAGGTGAGCCCAGTGGAGCTTTCTAAGCAGACAACAATTTGTCAGGACTTCAGACCAAAAAGAATCAGGAAGGGAATGAATAAGAGCCAAGTTTTAGGAAGAATAAACAGAATACCAGGAAGTCAATCAAAAAATAACATAGGATGATCTGAGACTCGATATGAATAACAATCTGAGGACAGACCAGTTTGGATTTTCAGGGAGGTGACCCAAGCCATAAGCTAGGAACAGAATTTAGCAAAATGGAATTGGCTAAAGTGTCAGAACAGGAGTCAGGCAAGATATTTGCCTGTCTGGGTCCAGGTTCTACATGTTCATGAAGCAGAGTCGAGGCTGATCTCTGGAAATGGTTGCTTGTTAAAGGGCCAGTCTCGGGAAGTTCCATTACAATAGCAACCTATAAATGCTTTGAATAAATCTTCTATGCAAATGAATATAGCCTAATATTAGGCTAAATCAAAGAAAGAATCCAGAATTGTAAAAAATGACATGACCCAAGACATTGCTTTTGACAGTTTTTGTGATGGCATGGAAGATGTGCCTGTACTACTAATATTAAAGATAACATTATAGAAGCTTTGGAACCTCACAAGTCAACTAACTTGACTTCCTAGTGATAGAAAAAGAAAAGAAAAATAGTCCTGACAGATGTATCCTGTGAAAGCCAAATGCTGAAAATTAAAGAATGCCTGCAATGTTCCTGTCGGGTTCCATTCTCCTCAAAGCTTTCTTAGAAGTAAACAATTTCGGGTTGTTGTGTTTATGAAAACCACCTCCCAGATGCTGAGCTAGGCCAAACCACAAGACTGGTCATGGGTTGAAAGACAAATGAAAATGGTGAGTTGGACCCCGTGAAGGTTGCCTTTACCTGCGTTCACCATTAAACCAGCAAGCACTCAATTCAAAAGGCACGTGAGATGGGGAAGGGTTAAGGCTGTCTGTCTCCCTTGTTATTCAAAGAGTGCCAGAGGTGGTCTCACAGTTTTAGGAGACTAAGAAATCCTTCTGTTTAGATGAGCCCCAGACCTCTGGATGTTTATTGCATGTTGTAAGGTTCAGCTGCAGAGAGGATGGCTGTCCTCCTGCCCAGCCTCCCTTATTGCCAGCCAGGGAAATCTGCACTATGGTTCCTGACCTCAGTGTTCCATCTTCCTCTTCATAATGGGATCTACTAAATCTTGCAATGTACCCAGCCAGATAGTAGACTACCATGGAAGAATAAAACCTGCTTTGCATTTTTTAAGTGAAACATTAGATTGTCCCCAGAACACTTTATAAAGATTTCTTAAAAGACCTATGGAGAAACCTGAAATTTCTATAAATTTTTATGGATGCAAGAAAGGACAAGAAGAGCTGCTATGAAAGACCCTTTTATACCTGACCCTGGTTCAACATTCACTGATGTCAACAAAGGATACCACTCAAGACCCAACAATATCCAGAGCAAGATGACACCATGGCAAGCTGTCCAGCCTCCAGGGTTAGGGGTAGGTAGACTTTCCAGAAAATACTGTCATGTTTTACAGTTTGAGCTAAGCACTGGATACCACAAGAGCCAAATATTCCTGTTCTCCCAATACTTAAGAGCATGTCCTCGAGCTTCTACTCAGCTAGTGATTCAATGGAGAGCAAAACCCACGCTGAGCTTTGAGCTGCCAGAATGAAATGACATGTAAAGGGAAATGAGGGCACGCTGCTGAAGGCAAGGGCAAGAGAATAGGGCAGGCGTAATAGGGGAACAGCAGCCGGAAAGCCAAAGCACAATATGAGATGCAACCAGCGAGAGAAACAAAGGGCAGCCAGACGATATTTCACAAATACATTAGGAACAAGACAAAGGAGAATGTAGACCCGCTAATTAGTAGGGAGGGAAAACAAATAGCAGATGCATCAGAAGGCTTGAGCTTTTAATACCTATTATGCTCTAGGCTTCACAGAAATGGTTAGCTATCATCAGAAGCGGAATATAAACCACAGTAATGAGCATATGGGGGAAAAAAAGGGGAAGTTTAAATGGAAACCAAACAGATTAGTAACTACTTAGTCAAGCTGGATGGTTTCAAATCAGGTCCTGAGAAGAGTCACAGTGCTATGGTAACCAAACTAGCTTATGAAATGCAAGTCCCTGTTAAAATTTCTGTTGAAGGAGTGGAAAGATTTCAGGTTGCTGAATCTGAGACAAGCAGGGTCAGCACTGAGCAAGAGGAAACAGAAGGTGGCTCGAAACAAGAGTGTTGACCATCAGAGAAGCACAGGTATCCCCTGCTGTGTGATAGTAAAGGTGAATTAAAGACAGTGAGTCGTTTGTCCCAGACTAAAACCAGAGCTATGACGACTCAGTGAGCACAGTTACCGCAGATCAACAAGGGTATGACATCCTGGAAGTACCATATTCCAAAACAGAGCCACCATGTCTCAGTAAATATGTCAGGCACTTGACCAAAGAGGGCAGAATTGGGAGCCTCCAAAATGCCTGGGAAGCTATTGAGGCACAGTCTTGGAAAGCTAAGTCAAGGTTCTGTGCCTTCAGTTTTCAGATTAATCATAGCAATTATTCTTTATTAATAGTATTTCAGATTAATAGCTAAAACAGTTTTCATCCCTCCTCCATGTCATGCACTAGGCTAAGTACTTTTAATGCATTTTTAATTTAATTTTCTCAGTAAACTGCTAGATCCTGTTATTACCTGTGTTTTTTAAGCTTTTAACTCCCTTGAGCCTCAGATCTTCATGTAACTCGTCTGAAGTGGTAGAGCCAAAATGGTGAAAGAAAGGGGAGCGGCTGTGTTGATCTGCTTGTTTACTTGCTAACCCTAAGCTGTAAAAATTGATACAACTTCCTTGAGTTGTTAGCTAAAGCAAAAGACATGACAGTTAATTTATTATTTGATTCTTTTCATCAATGTGTAACTCCAAGGATTCTGCGAAAATGTCTGTGCTACTTTTTTAAAGCCATAAGCAGATGTGTTACTTTAACAGCTAAAAACCAGGGAACTCTACATACTCATGACATCCTTCTCTAACTACCAGATAATGAGGACGGAATGAATGGGGGTAACGGGGCTCTGCTGGTCCACACCTGGCTGCAGCTAATGAGCAAGGATGGCCATGGTCCAGCTGGGGTTTCAAGACGTGGCATCTCCTGGTGAAGTCACCTTTATCTGGGGCAGGGATGACAAAACCTTGCAACTTCCTCACATCTACTGCACCCATGGCAAATATTTCTAAATAATCCCAGTAATCTTTTTCTTGGAGCCAAAATGGGACCCAAGAGCCCTTCTCCACATGTTGTTTGCAAAAATACTTCGAAGTATTCTATGGAGTAATTCTTCCTGTTATCAAGATATCGAAAGTAGCAGCCAATTGACCTTCCTGTTTTAATTTTTTATAACCATTCATCCAACCAACATTAGGAAATATTGAGCCTAAACAGACAAACTAGATGTCTCTGCCATCTCTTCCCAATCTTCGGCATGCCGATTGGAATTGCGTTCATGAATACATGAAATGTGCACGAACATGGATTTAATATACAATATTTTCCAAATGTAGGAATCACCGGAACCATGTTCTCACAGAGCACGTACCATCTACAGGGCACTCCAAGGTACATATTTTTGAAAAGTCAAGAGCACATTCCTGGTTAAGAAACCAGAAGGTGGTGGTGGTTGTTGTTGTTATTATTTATTTGAGATGGAGTTTTGCTGCTCTTATTGTCCAGGCTGGAATGCAATGGCGCAATCTTGGCTCACAGCAACCTCTGCCTTCTGGGTTCAAGCAATCCTCCTGCCTCAACCTCCTGAGTAGCTGGGATTACACGCACATGCCACCATGCCTGGCTAATTTTTATATTTTTAGTAGAGATGGGGTTTCATCATATTGCTCAGGCTGGCCTCAAACTCCTGACTTTAAGTGATCCACCTGCCTCGGCCTCCCAAAGTGCTGGGATTACAGGCATAAGCCACCGTGTCTGGCCACCAGAAGGTTACTATTAATCATATGTAATGTGCTTCATCTTTGGAAGGCATTTAGTATGTGGTCAGCCCTGGATTAAGTTCAGGACAGAGCCAAGCAAACGGAAAAGGTGCTCAGAGTTGAGGTCCAGACCACAGAGTTGGAACTCTTCCAGTTTCTCCTGCTAAAAGTAAGGTTTGATTCTGGGACTTGGGCAGAATGGAGCCCACCTATGGACCGTCAAATGTGTCTACCTCTGGAGAGATGAGTCAGGGAAGAGCTGGCAGTCAAAGGTGACCCTACAGATCAACCTACCAGATTCTTACAATCTGAATTGAATTTCTCTCCATTTCTCTTGATAAGCTCCACACAGTGACTTCAAGCCATCGAGGTTTAATGTAAGTTAGGAGGTTATGAGTTTCTTTAGCAACACTCTAGGCTTGACTATACCTATATCTTTCAATAGATATTGGGAACATTTTAGATACTTCAGCTAAATGTATTTAAATGATTTTTTAAATGGGATATTATGCAGATAGATGTTTACATTCATTTACTTCAACTTTTATTGTATTAACAGTCAGGAGGTGACCTGTCATCAGAATTTGGAAGTATCTTACTATAGTGCTGTATACATTTACAGACATTATGACTGGGGAGGTGGTGAAACCTTGTAAGCTTGCTATAAAACCAGCACAGAAAGACCCCTTAGACTCTCACTGAGGCTGAAATTTCTGAGAATCTAAATTAGAAGTAAGTTGATCCTTGCAACGGGGCTGGGGACATCATGAATCCTTTCAAATTCCATTCAGCTCACTCTTTCCCTTAATAAACACTTATTGAACACATTTTCCATTACAACTAGGGATGCAACAATAAAAACAGAGCATGGCTCCTGCCCTCACAGAGCTCATGATCAAGTGCAATGTCAGTGGTTGGGTTGTGCAGGGGTGGGGAGAGCCTTCCATGTTGCAGTTGAAGAGTTACCAACAGTGTTCATTTATTAAATGGAAGGCCACATACTTTAGTCTGCTTGATCACTCAAAACAACGAGAGCATCTTAAGCCTGTGAATGGCACCATCCACCTTGCAGTTCAAGTTCTTCAGCCAGCAACATTGCTACAACCTCAAATTTATATAGATAAACTGTATGTGTTAATGATTTAGGCAGATTTAGCTTCAATTAAGCACAGACAACTAGAAGTTGTGCCCAGAGATACGTAAGCTGTGTGCCCCCACTTAGTAGGAAAGACTTTCAGTGAATGAAGTCTTCTATAGACAGGTGGTACCTAAAATAATAAGAAATGGGGGAAGATGAAAATCATAGCAAATGGAAGGAATAAGAAAGAAAACTAGGGTGGCAATGTCTAGTGGGTAGCATCAAGAGACATTTTCTCTTGAAGTAAATATGTTTCTAAGAGGGCAAAGCTCATAGAAGTTTAAAAGATTATGTTCCTTCTGGGTTTATGCACATGTGCACAGATCTCTTCCTATTTGTGTAGATACATTTTGCAGAAGAATCTAGGAGATTCATAGATCTTAAGGCTACAGTTAGGCCCTATCTAGTATGAACACAGGTTCACAGGCCTCTGAATAAGCATGCAGTCATTGTTAACATAGGATTGAGTTATGGGGACTGTGGCCATTTGTATGCTATTGCCACATGAAAACAGCCAAGTGCATTGAAAGCATTCCATGACCTTAATTTTAAGTTGCTTGAAAGGAGAGTTCACTTTCATAAATAAAAATGTAGAAGATAGGCTTTCGAATTGATAGAATTTCTCTCTCCAATACCTTCAAGAATGGGTAAGCATTTTTTAAAGGTTTTAAGCACTATCTTCTATTTTTTATCATAGCAGTATTCAAATGATGCCTCACACTTTGATTGAGCATGTTCTTTTGAGTTGAAAAATTACCAAGGTCATTTTCAAACTTTGGATGAAATGAGTTTTTGTTTAGAAATATAGCACGTGTATTTCTGGAGGAGAGGGGCCCTATTCATCACTTGTTTCATGCCTGGAAGCCAAGAAAACTCTCACGGAGACAGCAATTAAGTAAATATGCATGTATGCATATATGTTTCTGATAATATCGCTCTAGTCCTAATGTAGAGGGTTCTTAGATTATAGTGTATACAGGTGTGTACATATAGGTGTACACTGTCATCTTTCATTTTATTGTATGTACTTATGGGATACAGTGCAATGTTTGGATATTTGCATACGTTGTGGAATGATTAAATCAATCTAATTGGCATCACCTCACAACGGGATCAGTTTTTTTCGGTGAGAACAATTAAAATCTATGCTCTTAGCAATTTTCAAGTATATCATACGTTGTTAATAACTGCAGTCACCACGCCATACAGTAAAGCTCCACAGTTCATTCTTCCTGCCTTACTGAAACATTATACCCTAGACCAAGCCTGTCCAACCCACGACCCACAGAAAGCCCAGAACAGCTTTGAAGGTGGCTGACACAAATTCATAAACTGTCTTAAAACCTGATGAGATTTTTTTGCAATTTTTTTTTAGCTCATCAGGTATAGTCAGTGTATTTTATGTGTTGCCCCAGGCAATTCTTCTTCCAATGCATCCCAGGGAAGCCAAAAGATTGAACATCCCTACCCTAGACCAACATCTTTCTAATTCCCCTCTCCTTCTGACCCCGTGTAACCACCATTCCACCCTCTGCTTCTATGGTTTCAACATTTTAGATTCTACCTGTAAGTGAGACCATGCAAAATTTGTCTTTCTTTGCCTGGCTTATTTTAATGTCCTCCAAGTTCACCCGTGTTGTCACAAATGGAAGAATTTCCCTCTTCTTTAAGGCTGAATAGTATTGGGTTTTGCATATAGACAACATTTTCTTTATTCATCCACCGATGGTCACTTAGGTTGATGGATTCCGTATCTTTCCTGTTGTCTAAAATGATGTGGTAAACATGAGAATGTCTTCCACATACTGATTGCATTTTCTTTGGATATATACCCAGTGGTGGATCATACTGGATCATATGATAGCTCTATTTTTAATTTTTTGACAAACTTCCATCCTGTTTTCCATAATGGCTGTACTAGTTTACATCCCCACCAACCATATACAATGGCTCTCTTGATTCTACATTCTGCCAACGTGTGTTGTCTTTCTGATTAAAGCCATTCTAACGGGTGCGAGGTGATAGCTCATTGTGGTTTTAATTTGCATCTCCCTGATGATTAGTGATGCTGGCATGTTTTTTCACATATAGATGTTGATGTATTTCTAAGTTGCTTAGCTCTTTTAGAAAGTTAAAAACACTAGCTCAATAGACCTGTTAGATTTTTATTCTGGTTTTCAACCAAGTATCTATGCTTTTCTGCTCAAACTATCACTGCAAAGATATTATAGAATCAAAAATAATAGGCTGTCACATGAAAAACAATGTTCTAATAAAAAATTATGGATTTATTGCATAAACATTTCCCTGAAGATCTCTTTTCTAGAATTAAAACTTCAGATAAAGTCACACAGAGTAACATCACAAGGAATGTTACAAAAGAGTGGGAGGGACTGGCTTTCTCACCTTTCTGGTGACTACTCAGCTTGTTCCAGACACCTTTAATTGTTGTCATTTAATATGCTTCCCTTTGTCTTCCTTTGCCACTCCCCATAACCTGCCTGGGTGACCTTATACGCATCAGGTACTGATGGCTGTAAACTAGCCCTTAGGTCTAGACATGTAAATTCAACTCCCTCCTGGACTTCTCAAGTCAACAGCCAACAGGCATCTCAAAGTCCACCTCATGCCCATTCTGAGCTCATCACCCACCAACTCCAACCTCTGTCACTTCCAACTCTTTTTCACTCAACAAATGTTTGTTGAATACACAAATGGATGATCTTCAAAAAGTGCTACAAAAGGAATATCATAGAGAAGACAGCATTGATTTCTGTATCTAATGGCACTTAAAATGGCTGGGTCCTTTCTACAGAACGTTGTTCCTTCTCTCCCTGGAGGTCACAGGCTGAACAACCACTCAGAGCTGGACTTCTGGACACCTAAGCAAAGAAGGAAGTCCTACCCTTGGACCACAAGAGGCTGCATTAAACTTGCACCACAGTTGTTTATAAATCAGCAGCAGCAGTTTGAGCTGCTCAGGCAAAATGTTATGGTTTCATTACAAGTGAAAACAATCCAGATGTGTTTTTTTGCATAAACACATGAAAAAGGGTTAATATTCGGTTGATCTTCTTTCACCACTGCAGTACTCCAATGATGTCACACCCTGTTTGAGGCCGTGGAGCTGACCTGCTCTTAATTAACCATGCTGGCTCTGTGCAGTGGCTCACGCCTGTTATCCCAGCACTTTGGGAGGCCGAGGCGGGTGGATAACTTGAGGCCAGGAGTTCAAAACCAGCCTGGCCAACATGACGAAACCCCATCTCTACTAAAAATACAAAAAAAATTAATTGGGCATGGTGGCATGCGCCTGTAGTCCAAGCTACTCAGGAGGCTGAGGCAGGAGAATCATGCTTGAACCTGGGAGGTAGAGGTTGCAGTGAGCTAAGTTCATGCCACTGCTTTCCAGCCTAGACGACAGAGCAAAACTCTGTCTCAAAAAAAAAAAAAAAAGTAACCAGGCTATAGAGTTTAAAAATAAAAGTATTAATAATCACGGGGTTCCATTTAAAGATAACATACACCATGGAATATATTTGACTCTTCCAAATCAATCCAGTACTTGAGTTTTTTCTAAGTGATGCTTGAATTTCAGGCAGAGGTCTTTACCTTATTATAATATGGCCTGGACCTTAGAGGATACACTGGAGACTCCAAGCCATCTCTAGCAGTGATTGAAGAACCAGTCATTGCCTCCAATAGGTGACAACAGTTCTTTATGCGGAAGAAAATACTGTTGCTTACATAGTTGTTCTCCTCTGGGGCTTTGACACCTTTGGAAGAAAAGCACATACACAGGGCCAAGCTTTAGTGAGGGACTGTCTAGATGCAATCCTAAGAGACTGACACTGTGTATAATTCTAACTCAAGTAAGCTTTCATCTCAGGGAAACTAGCAGATTCATTGACATTTACACAGAGCTTTTTCATTTCATTTTGAAAGGGCTTTTCCACACATTACTTCATTCAGTCCTCAGAGCGTTTAAATGACCTACCCAAGATCACACAGTTAAATGACCTACCCTCAGATAAGAGCCCAGGCCTGCAGATGTCTAACTCATCCTGCAACATTCTTAACCAAACCAGCTCGCCAGATGTGCTTTCAATTTACAGATGCCTGAATTTCCACAGCTGAAGATAGATTCCTGTTTTGTGTGTGTGTGTGTGTGTGTGATTGTCATAAAGTTAATACAGCAGAAAGGAATAAGTAAATTCTCCAAGCTTTCTGGGAGTAGATGATAATAAGCTGGAAGCCATAAAGAACAAAAGGCACAGATTGCTGGGAGGGCAGAAAGAAGGTGAGTGTGGGCTGAGAAAGGGGATCCTGGAGCTGCAGACACCTTGGCCTTCTTCACCATGACCCTGTAGGCTGGTTGCTGTTGACATTTAATGCTATTGTGGAAGGCTTCCTGCAAAACAAACAGCACCTACATAACAAGAGGGAAGTCTCAAGCTTAGAGAACTGCTTCTTGAACCTAAGACATTAATATGTTAATCTACTCCCCCTAAATTAGCTGAAGACCACAGAGGTGAGCATGCACCCCACTTAAGAGTCTGCCTGTAGTGCTGGCCTGCCTCTTTGCTCAACAGATCCCCAGCCCACACTTGGTGATTCTTCCTCTTGCATTTACTGAGTGGTGATCTTTTCTATGACCGCTCATCCTGCAGAAGTGGTGTTGTGTCATTGCATGCAGCAATACTTCTTTAAGATCTTTTATCACCAAATAAGTGAAAGGAGAATGCAGATAATTCACTCATGACTCATTGTTATGGAAGGGACTTAAAGAAAAAAGTTTATTTTGATCTTCAAAGGAAGAATTTGTCCTCTAAAACTTTATCATTATTAATATTGGTTTTATTTTGACGCGATTATTTACCAGGAGTAGCTATCATAGCACAGCCAAGAATGGTAATTGAATGAAGAATTGATTTTTATTTCCGCTATGTAAAAAGCAGCTCTTATTTTCTACAAATGACCCATAATTACAGTTGTCTGGAGAGTGTCTTATCAGCCTGAGCAGGATAGAAATAAGCTAGATATACAATAGTACTTCCTAGTCTACAATTTAAATATGTATGCTCATTAATGGCAATTTAAATTAGCATTATAGCAAATGTAGTTCATATCACTCTCCTGGGCAGAGTCTAGCAATGCAGACACGGCCTGTATTTCTGCTCTGTAAAATTCAGAGGAGCCTAGTGTGTTCTTTTTAGTGGATGGAGATTCTGTCACTCTTCCCACACCAGTATTTGGCTAATAAACTCTTAAGCAGCTGTCATGCAGCAGGAAGGAATGAGAAAATTCTCCAAGCTTTCTGGGAGTAGATGATAATAAGCTGGAAGACATAAAGAACAAAAGACACAGATTGCTGGGGTAGAAAGAAGGTGAGTGTGTTGGCAGGGCACAGTGGCTCACACCTATAATCCCAGCACTATGGGAGGCCAACGTGGGCGGATCATGAAGTTAGGAGTTCAAGACCAGCCTGGCCAACATGGGGAACCCCACCTCTACTAAAAATACAAAAATTAGGTGGGTGTGGTGGTGCGCGTCTGTAATCCCAGCTACTCAGGAGGCTGAGGCAGGAGAATTACTTGAACTCGGAAGGCGGAGGTTGCAGTGAGCCGAGATTGTGCCACTACACCCCAGCCTGGGTGAGACAGCAAGACTCCATCTCAAAAAAAAAAAAAAAAAAAAAAAAAAAATGGTGAGTGTGAAGCAATCTTAAAGATTAGTGAATTATTTGCTAAGGGAAAATGAAGCCTAACCCTGCCTCAGTCAGAACACTAAATAATTTTGGTATAATAAGGATGACAAAGATGTTCTACCCCAGAATCCACATCAGTGGCTATGAACAGACTCCAAGGCAGTGCCACCATCTTTAGGCTGTGGCTTAGCAAGAATTTAAGAACGTTCCTTTGTTCTCAAGAGAATGCCCAAGGCTTGTAGAAGCTGAACAGTTTCTGCAGTTGCTCTGATGCCCAGATGGGAGATGAGAGGTGTACTCATTGATTTTCCCCACTCACCATTCCCCTTCACACACAAATGTTACAGGAAAGGGGTTCCGATCCAGACCCCAAAAGAGGGTTCTTGGATCTCATGCAAGAAAGAATTCAGGGCTAGTCTGCAGTGCAAAGCAGAAGGAAGGTTATTAAGCAAGTAAAGTGATGAAAGAACAGCCTCTCCATAGACAGAGTAGGACGTTCCCAAAAGTAAGAGGAGGAATGAGTCCACCCTAGGTACGATGCTTGTTTTTATACAGGATAAAAAGATTGTGAGGAGATGTGCTCTGCTACAAGGGTTTGTGATAAAGGATTAATTTCTTAATTACTATAGTTTGCAAGAATAAATATTATTTTTAAAGCAAAATTAGGAATGTTTTTGTTGTCAAGATACTGAAATATTAGGACACTCCCAAGTCTGGGTCTGTTTAGTAAACGTTATCAATCTGTTCCCTTAACCATAAACATCTAGAAGCTAGGAATGCCTAACTTTCTGGGAACACAGCCCAGCAAGTCTCAGCCTCATTTTTGTAGGCCTCACCCAAGATGGAGTTGCTCTGGTTTGAATGCCTCTGACACAAATATACACATACAATCCAAGGACTCTTCCTCTGGGTGTCTGAAAGCCCTCTTTGCTCTTTCCTCTTTTGCGGAAATTATTCTGAGTTAACATAAAACTATCACGTATTGATACCTGGTTACCTACAAAGGTGTTTAAAAACAGTGAGTGCTGAGATGGGTCCATTGAAAGAAGAAAGATTTCTGAAGTGGCCAATATGTCATGCTCTTCACTAATTCTTCTTAAAAATTATTTTCAGTGTCAATTTGGTACTTTTTAAATTTTAGATGCAGAATAGAATGGTCTTTTTAATGCCGTGTCTTCAAATTACATAGGCGTAAACCAGAGGGTGGACATACACCTGCAGCTGGTGACTGCTCGTAGTATTTATAATGCAAAACAGCTAATTAAGATGATGGTCAAGTGGTAGTTTTCTGCTGATATTAGCACATAAAATCATGGTTGTGTCTCTCTGTGCTTTCACCCTGTTACAGTACCAGCAAGCTAAAAATCAATGCTTGATGTCAACACTAGATCTTTCCAAAATATACTAGCCACATCTTCGAAAGAAATACATTTGAATTGGCATCCGCTTGTGGTCACACATCATCCCAGTCTAAACTGATATTCCTTTAAAACCACAGTTTCTCAAGTGGGCCCTGGGGAACACCTACGTCAGAAACAAGTTCAGACATTTTTTAAGATACAGGTAACTTGATTGAACTCTGGATGTAGTAGATTA
Source organism: Homo sapiens (assembly GCF_000001405.40). NCBI lineage: Eukaryota > Metazoa > Chordata > Mammalia > Primates > Hominidae > Homo > Homo sapiens. The sequence continues at coordinate 10,531,310 of NC_000010.11, forward strand.
GGTTTGAGAAATCTGTATTGTAACAGCAGCCCCCAGGTGATTTTAATCACGCTCTAAAACAAAATTGAGTAACTTGACCAAGGTCTTGTAGTATCCTTATGATAATAAAATAACCAATGATTTTATTAAATCGTTCATAGGACAAACAGTTCTATGAAGGGAAAATAATGTTATGAGACTGGGATACCTGACCATATCCTCCAGTTCCTGACTTCACATCCTATTCTGAATCAGTCTCTTTGGACTCCAACACCAGCCCCTCCTTTATCTCCCACACTGAGCCGCTCTACCCAGGTCATGAGGTACTTCCTAAGCCAGGTGCACTCTTCACTTAGCATCCTGATCTGTGTGTGAATTCTGCGGGAGGAAGAGGTTGATGGTAAAGTCTACAAGTTCAATTTCTCTTCTCACTTCTGTTTGATAAATTTTGAATCAGAATTAATCATCTCTACTAAAGTAAACTTTTAGAGATTGTTTAATTGGAAACTCATCATTTTTAGAAATAAAAGGCAATATCAATCCTGATGATAGTCAGCACTCTGTGGTCCCACAGACAGGAGCAAATGGTGTTGGGAACAGGCCCTGGCCTGTCCTGGTGCTCCAGTCCCTCTCATGGTATTACAGGTGCATTAATGGCTATATTGACTCTACCTTACGAGAAAAACAATAAGTAGAGGATTGACTGGGTGCTCAGACAGCCTTAAACAAAGGTGGCTGAGAGTGAGGAAAGTACACAGAATTTTAAGCCTCAAGTATTCCATATTTGCCTAACGGCAATGTGGTGAAAGGTACTCAAGTTCTTTCAAAAGACAGGCAACATCTTTGCAACCCTTTCTGTTACCATTGGGTTTGAGAAGTGCTCAAGTGGACAAAGTCTACTCAACAAAATTCATTTGACGCTACTGTAAAACTCCTTGGCCACAAATTTGGAAAGTTTTTAGTAATCATTTGTTCCCAAGATTTAATTAAAATTTAAGCCACACATCTGTTTGAAAACATATCAGCAGAGATTCAGATGCTTGTTGCTGGGATGATGATTGACAGGGAGGAACAGATTGACTTGGCATATATGTAGAACTCATTAATCTTCTTCAAGTACATTCCTGGGAAACATGGAGTTCTCTCAACAAGCTGTTACCAAAGCAGCACTTTCATTTGCACAGTTGGAACCCTAAGAGTTTAAGTGGAAGTCACAAGTTAAGGGAGGAAGGCAAAGTGTATTGTGATAAAGTTTTCTGTGATTATATAATCTTACATTGAGAGCAGCAGAACGTTAGTTAAATAATATCACAGCCTTGCTCCAGTTCCTATAGTCTTAATATCTAAATAGGATACAGCCAACTCTAAGGTCAGTCTTAGATATCACTTGTTAAATGAGGATCATTAACTGCTTCCAAATTTTGTATCTCTTTTAGGTATTTATCTTTGTATTTCAAAAGGAATGTTAATTTATTCACTAGAGACCAGGGAGCCTTCTAAGCTACCTTGGTTTATCACTGGAAGATTAAATGCTAAAATGATACAAGAGAAAAAAAATTAAAGATGAAGCTATCCTCTTCTCAAAGAGACAAAATCTCAAAAAAAAAAAAAAATAGAGAGCAACCCCACTCAAGAAGACATCTTGCAAATATTGGCGGGAGAGTTGGGTTGATGGGAATTTTCATGAACTTAGCATTTCTGGCTTCGTGCTTTCTCTGAGTGCTGTCTCTGCAAATTTAAATCCATCTTATTTCAGAATGCTGGGTTTGTAACTGAGAAGAAATAGTGCAGATGGCTAAATTATGCTCACTTGTTCAAAACCATGACAACTTACCATAATATAGCTGTAAACACCTGAAATTAATTAGAGTACATTTCAATGTGGAGAGTATGATTTACAGTATGGGCTTAAATACAGAGATGTGTTTTGATTTCAAGTCATCACTTCTTATTTTACCTATAAATGTTGATTAAACAGAGTTTGTTTTGTCTTTTAATGAAGATGATTTTTAAGGGTCAAGGGGAGGAGCATAGAGTCCAATATTCAGAGCATATACATTTTAGAAGAACGAGAGTACAATTTTCTTAAAATTGTGATACAAACTTTTAATGATCATTATGGAGACATAGGAAGGTACACTAATAGTTTTTAAATACCTATTATGGGTCATTAATTTTTTACAAAACTGCCTCCTGAACTTTATTGTAGGACTTTCAAGAGCTAAAACTACATCTTGTTGAATCTCTTTACCTCAGAGTAACTTACAGAGGGAAAAGCCCAGTGTATGAGTCAGAGAAACTCCAGTTTGAATCTGGACTTTGCAGCTGTCTGTATGCCCTTGGGCGAATGGCTTAATCACTTTGACAGAGAAGGAATCCTCGCACATTAGGAAGAAAGAATCAGAGAAAATGGACAAAGGCTTTGTCCAGACAAGGAGATCTCTTTGGGGAAACAATAAGTTAAGGTCAAAGTATGTTGAATCTGAGATGCTAATGGGCCATCCAGGAAAAGATTGACGGCAAGTAGTAGAGAATTGGAGTCCAGGAGAGAGCTGAGGCACACAGATATCTACTTGGAAGTCACTGGCGGATAATATTTGAATTTCTGAAATTAAATGAGATCACTGAAGAAGAGAGTATGAAGAAAACAAAATACCTCTAAGTAAATTCTTGAAAAACTTAAAGATCAATCAGCAATAAAAGAAACCAAGAAAGGAAAACCTGGAAATAGGAAGAAAATTAAAACATTACCCTGTCACAGGGTATTTTGAATAGGAGAAAATAGACCACAAAATCAAAAGCTTGAGAGTAATCAAAAAAGATAAGGACTGGAAAAAAATAAAAGGCAACTGTATTTGACTCTTCAGGAACATTCTCAGTAAAATGGCAGAGACAGAAGCCAGATTCGAAGAGGTGAGGAGTTGTTAAAAAAAAAAAAAAAGAAAAAGAAAAAGAGAGAGACAGAGAAAGGAAAAAGCAGGCACTAAGTAAAGAAAAAACACTTAAAAGAAGTTTAGGGTAAAAGGAGAGGTGAAAATAGCAAAATAATTTGAGGCAACTCAGAGAACATCTTTGAAAGTGGGGAGACCGGAGTATGTTTGCTGATAGGGACAAAGAGGGCAGAGAGAGAAAGAAATTGATAGAGCGAGTTTCCGAGGAACCTAGGAGGAATAAGATGTGGAACACACAGAGTTGGGTTAACCTTGAAAAGACAGAATCTTCTTCCTCTGAGCCAGAGGGAGAAAGGATAAAGGGAGATACAGATAAATCTTATGATGGCTTACTAAATTGAAAATATGGACCTCATGCTCCAACTCAATTTCTCTTTCCTCACTTATCTGTAGTTCTACGCCTGTCTTCCCCCACTTATGAGATATCAAGTAAAATCCTATCTTGGAGAAGAAAAGAATGGATTCACTTTTAAGAAATAGTTAACTTCAGGCCACTGAGGTATTTCTTAGAATGAATCAAGAGGTCACCCTGATATATTATTATGGTCTAAAAGAATTGATGCACTTTGAAAAAGGAAGCAGCTTAATCCCTTTCCCTAGTAGGATTAGGCATAAAGTAGACTATTTAATACTTGAAGAGACCTTTAAGGATCTTCTTTACAAACAGGATAATGTTAAATCTGTCTATGCAAATATAATGAACTAATTAGATTAATACCACATAACTTTACTTCAAGTAAAGAAAAAAATGAATTTTCTGTCATTAAAATCCCATTACATCAGCCTTAGTATATGTATGGAGGGATCTTAGTTTACCTCCTGTTTTAATCACCTCTATTTACCACATTGGAAAGACAGGAACCCCTTCCCCAGAGTGTTAGAGAAGTTGAAGCACTCAATACCCAATACTGGCAGATGAAATCAACAGCACTTGATGAGTCTCATGGACTCAGAGACTGGGAGAGGAGAGAGTGTCAGAGTACACAGGACCACACAGCATGATTGCACTTGGGAACAGGATGAACACCTACAGCTGTGGAAGTCAGAACGTGTAGTATCAAAAGGGTGAGATGCCCTCTGGTTCCCATAGCAGGCTGTGATTGGCTTGTTGGGATAATCCCACAGTTCAGCAGAGAACTGAAACCCACCACTTGGGTGAGCAGGAACCGTACCTTGTCCCTTCGATTAGGAAGGTTTGGACCGGGTGCGGTGGCTCACACCTGTAATCCCAGCACTTTGGGAGGCCAAGGTGGGTGGATCATGAGGTCAGGAGTTCAAGACCACCCTGGCCAAGATGGTGAAACCCCATCTCTACTAAAAATACAAAAAAATTAGCTGGGCATGGTGGCGGGCGCCTGTAATCCTAGCTACTCAGGAGGCTGAGGCCGAGAATCGCTTGAACCCTGGAGGCGGAGGCTGCAGTGAGCCGAGATAGCGCCACTGCACTCCAGCCTGGGCGACAGAGTGAGACTCTTTGTCTCCAAAAACAAACAAACAAAAACAAAAACAACAACAACAAAAACGAACATTTGGCTTGGGGGACCTTATCCACAGGAGCAGAATGGGGAGGGAATTTGTGGTCAGACCATTAGAGGCCCTCCTGGTTTACTAAATATCAAGGTGTTACATAATGATGAGCCATAATTTTAGACTTTACACCACATAAAGTGAGCAAACCTGTGGGATAAATAGCCATGATTCAATGGGACTGGGCTGTAACTAGTGGTAGCATAAGCATTTTGCCAGTGTTCATAGGGGTGGGGGCTTCAAGAAAGCTTTTGGATTTTTTTTTTTTTTTTGAGACAGAGTCTTGCTCTGTCGCCAGGCTGTAGTGCAGTGGTGCGATCTCGACTCATTGCAACCTCCGCCTCCCGAGTTCAAGCGATTCTACTGCCTCAGCCTCCTGAGTAGCTGAGACTACAGGCACATGCCACCATGTCTGGCTAATTTTTGTATTTTTAGTAGAGATGGGGTTTCATCATGTTGGTCAGGATGGTCTCGATCTCCTGACCTTGTGATCTGCCCACCTTGGCCTCCCAATGTGTTGGGATTACAGGCATGAGCCACCATGCCCAGACAGCTTTTGGAATCTTATTGGAGTAATTTGCATTGTTACTTGATGTACTTTCCACAAACACAGTTTGATATAAATAAAAACACTGGTCACATAAATACCCCTAATGCTTTTGGTCTATTTTGAAATGGCAGGTGCTCTGTCAGCAAATATTCCTTCTTTAAGTGAAGTGTTCCTCACGGAGGAGAATTGAACGAATCTCAAGACACTGATGAAGTATGTCCATTTTGTGGCTGGCAACTCTAGACCTTATAGTTGTATTTAACTGTGACCCCAAACAGGGTTTCTGGTTTGACTCTTGGCCCAGAATGTCAGCAAGTGTCCCAACAGGTAACAGATGTCACCATGAAGCAGGGTCTGTGAAAAGAGTTTGATGAGGGTGCCGACAGGGACAGAAAAACACCAGTTATTTTAACAGAGAGAATTTAATACAAGGAAGTATTTACTGGGTAACTGAAAGGGTAAGGATGAATTCTTAATAATCACAGAAGACAAATGAGCTGCATGAAGCAGCTCGGGCTGGAGGAACTACGGGCATCAGTTGGGATTATTAAAATGCAGAAGATGACAGATGGGATCTTGTGGACAAGAAGCAGACCTCTGAGGAGGGGGCTCCACTGGCTAGTGTTGCTGGGGCAAGAGGAGGCTTGTTTTGAAAGTTTTGGAAAACAAACAGCAAATTGGACAAGCTGGATTCACTTGCTGCTGCTGCTGCTGCTGCTGCTTCAACAAAATGCCACTGCCGGAGTAAAATGGTAAGCTGCCATGATGCACATAGGAACAAGAGGCAAACAAGAGGGAGGAAGCCTCCTCTTCCTCCAGCCTGGAAGTCTCCTTCTAGCATGGAAGGAGACACAAGACTTAGCTCTTAAGAGACTTGAGACTTAGCTCTTAACCAAGAGCTCGTTGGCCATGCAAAGATAGAAACCAGCCCCAGAAATGCCAAGAGATGGATAAGAGGGTGAGTTTTGAAGCTGACAGTCAGTAGCTTTATAACCGGCCCAGGAATATTTAGAAAACTGGGGACAACATTAAGGGAAACTTCAACAATGTGAAGAATCCAAGGATATAAACCATGGGATAGGGGATGGGGGAGTATCCTCAGGCCTGTTTCTAGCATTTGTTGGGCCCCAGGGCAGGAGCCCAAATGGAGAGCCACCTACCATAGGTCCATCTATTTAAAAGTTATAAGTTAAGAAAACTGTGAAATGAAGTACATTTCATCCACTTACCTTAAAAAATACTTCATAACGACCTGGAGGCTTGCTTCGAATTTGGAATACTAGGACTCCTTGGGGTGATCCTGGAAGTTTTTGGTGTCAGGAGAACCAGCCATCCTTGCCACTCAGCCACTGGCCCACACCCTCACGCTCTGTACCACCTCCAGCTCTGTACCACCCCATGAGTGGGTCTCACATGAGTCTAGATAACCCAGCTCATGTATCCTAGCTCAGATCCCAACCCCCATGAACAACTGACATTTTCTTACCCCTTAAGCCTATGACTGAAAACATTACAGGTGCATAATCGACCCAGGGAAAAGACAGACCTGACAGAACCTGCAAGTAGGCTTGGAGCCATTTGGGCAGAAGACTTGGGGGGTCCGTGGCCGCGGGAGCCTGATTAGGAAGGGTGCAGTGCATACAGTCCAAGTGCGATGAGCCCTTGTCCCCAAGGGCTCTTCATGGAATGAGGAGGGTTATGGGCAAAAGGGGAAAAGCAGAGCCCACCCAAAGCACAAGCCCTAGAGGCAGTGCAGCAGCCACTGTCACCCTCAGGCATAAAGGGGAAGGCAGTGGTCACCAGAGCATCCTGAGAGTTGTTGCTAGTAGGGGTGCCCTGACAAAGGCCATGTCCTTCAGTAGCAGGGTACTACCACTGCCAGTCCCCATTTGCCAAGTTGGAAGATGAGCTGACAATGACCGCCCCCATGTCTCCTTCCTGCCTCCCTCTGGTCTGCCAGCATCTGCCATTGGCTGAACTCAACTGGAAACCATAGGGCAAGAGAGCCCCAGTGCTGCATTCAATGGAGCTCAGCCTCCTGGTCTCAGAGAGAGATGCAGAAGGGTGGACAGTGGATTGAGAGGGCCAAGTAGAGGCTACACAGTGCACCTGCTGACCAGGCTCTTGAATCTTTGCCACTCCCTATGCTTGATCTCAAGTGTCTCTGGTTAAATCTCCTGCAGCTCCCTCTCTGTCTGCTCTCCTGGCTTTAAGCCATTATCTGTCCCTAGAGTCTCCTGGTGTCAGCCTTGTGTGTCCTCCCACCCCTATCCCCTGCCCAAACAACCCACCCTATTCTTAGCATGGTCAGCTATCAAATTTCCAGCCCCAAACATACTACAGAATATGAGATGGGTAGCAGTTTGGTATTGAGACTGGAATAACGTTGGAACCATTATGAGCATGGAGAAATTACTGAAGGAAAGGAGAAACATCAAGGAAAGGAGGCCACCGTACTGACTATATGTGACTGTTCTTTGTTACACCCACATGGTCTTATGAGCTGGAAGGAACCACGTTTTTCTCTTGCCCTCCTTACTAGTTCTGATTTTCGTTAGCATTTTTTCTTTATCTTTTTGTTTGAGTGTCATCCTTTGTTTAATTTTCCCGCAATTCTCTTAAGAGGGAAGTAGGACATAAATGTATGTAGTAAAGAGCAGGAAAGTGAAAAGTAATACAGCTCAAAACTTCTTAGTCGTCAGATGGCTGCCCACAGAAGAAACATCCAGATGCTTTATGAAATGCTGATTTCTGATCCACAATCTAGTCTTCTGGGCATCAGCCCTAAAGTAATTCTTGAGAATCACTGATGAACTGGTTAAGAGTACAGATCTTAAGAGTTATAGAGTAGCTATGAGATTTAGAGATGGTTTTGTCATCTGAGACTTATTTTCTCATCTATACAAAGAAAAAGTAGCAATACATATTCTATGGGCTTTCAGTAAGTAGCAAAAGGGATAATTTAGGTCGGAGGACTTAGCACAATGTTTGCCTGTCACCATTAGAGAAAACTGTTTTGTTTTTACAACTGTTTTGTTTTTGCCCTGAGACTTTTGGGGATTGGCCTTTTGCTTAATTAAACTTAGGGAGAATCTCAAAGGCTTGCAAAGAACCAGCCCTCAACCCCACCGCCACCCCACCCCCACCTCTGTGCTACTTTAGGAGTTTATTTGCCCATTAGATTTTCACCCATCAGTAATGCAGCTCATCCCACTATACAGATGGCAAAAGTAAGGCAGAGAAGGCCATATTCCCTGAACCAGGGTCCTGTGATACTTGGGTTCTGAAGCCAAACAGAAAACTCTAAAACTCCAACTCTTGAGATTACATTTATTCCTAAACGATATTGCCACTGCTTTTACTCAGCTTGCACTGAGAACGCCTCCCACTTGGAAATTGTACCACCAGGTATTAGGACTATGTGCAAAGTCCATCAGTGAAAAAGGCCAAGACATAATAGAACACATTTGAAATAGCACAGGAAATACACATGTTCAGTTACAGAGGCTTTCAAAGTAAATGACTTGGCTACCTGAAGCAGAAAGTAAGACGATAAGCCAGGTGGCATAGGGCATCTTTTCTAGATTTTTATTTCTTTTTCCCTTGGGTGCTCAGGGAAGACTGCCAGGGGTAGTTCTAGTGAATCTTCGGGAACAAATTATTTCCATCGAGGTAAAGGGAGAATTGGACTTTGCTGGCTCCCTTATTTTTTAAACCCCAGCTCTTTCCAAGAAAATACTTGAGGCAGCTAAAAACTCCTCTCACTCCAGTGTCTTAATTTTGAGTTGATTGGAAGAAGCTTGTACCTTCTCTTGCTGGGGACAGCCTTCCTCAGATGAAAAGGGACTTCAAAGTGAAGTTTTAACAGTGTCACAGTCCCAGTTGTTTTATTGCAAAGTCTGGAAAGATGCATGTCAGCACGCAGCATCAGCCATCCACTCACAGACTAAAAACCCAAGGAACAGGTTCGACTGAGCATGAAACACAGCTCCCTGGCTCCTAGCACCCTCATTACCCTTATCTCATGCACACAGTCCTGGGTTCCAGGCTCCAAAATGAAGATCCTCTCAGGAACCTTTTGCTTTGGGGGCTATTGCAACAGTCATCAAGAAAAATCTCCTGGCTAGCCTACGTTCCAGTAGAAACATCTAAGCTGGCTTTGCCTTTTCACAGAGCAAGCAGGCTTTTTTAATTTTTAAGCTCCAGGAGACCTAGCTCCCCATACGGTGGTTCATGACTAAACAGGAGGTTGCAGAAAAGTAAGGAGTGAAATGTTGATTCTCCCAGGCCAAATCAGTGAATATTACAAGTGATGAGTTCATCAGATAACTTTCTGATGATCAGAAATACCAACATCTGTGCAGGGAGTCCTGGATTTTTCAGGGAAAGGGAGGTCCCATCTACTTCTACCAATAATTAAAACATATAAGGCTACCCAAACCGTGTCCACTGTGAACATTCCAGGTTCTGTAAGAGGCTGGATATTGTGGCGGCTGTGTTCTCTACACTCATACATTCTCCACAACTGTATGCTAATCCAAAGGAATTCAGTATCCTGACTGTCAGCCCCCAAAAAGACCCACGTACACAGGGTGCAGTGGCTCATGCCTGTAATCCTAGCACTTTGGGAGGCCGAGGCGTGTGGATCACGAGGTCAGGAGATCGCGCCACTGCACTCCAGCCTGGGCGACAAGGTGGGTGGATCATTTGAGGTCAGGAGATCGAGACCATCCTGGCTAACATGGTGAAACCCCGTCTCTACTAAAAATACAAAAAATTAGCCGGGCGTGGTGGTGGGTGCCTGTAGTCCCAGCTACTCAGGAGGCTGAGGAAGGAGAATGGCGAGAACCCGGGAGGCGGAGCTTGCAGTGAGCTGAGATCATGCCACTGCACTCCAGGCTGGGCGACAGAATGAGACCCCATCTCAAAAAAAAAAAAAAAAAAGACCCACACACATATAAAGGCTCTCTGGAAGATTGCTGATGTCATATTGTTACTGGAAAGGGGCTCCACATCCAGGCTTCAAGAGAGGGTTCTTGGACCTCATGCAAGAAAGAATTCAAGGCAAATCCCTAGACTAATGTGAAAGCAAGTTTATTAAGAAAGTAAAGGAAAAAAGAATGGCTACTCCATAGGTAGAGCAGCCCCAAGGGCTCTTGGTTCGCTATTTTATGGCTATTTCTTGATTACATGCTAAACAAAGGGTGGGTTATTCATAAGTTTTCCAGGAAAGGGGTGGGCAATTCCCAGAACTGAGGGTTCCTCCCACTTTTAGACCATATAGGATAACTTTCTAATGTTGCCATGGTGTCTGTAAACTGTCATGGTGCTGATGGGAGTGTCTTTTAGCATGCTAATGCATTATAATTAGTGTATAATGAGCAGTGAGGATGACCAGAGGTCACTTTCATTGCCATCTTGGTTTTGGTGGGTTTTGACCGGTTTCTTTACTGCATCCTGTTTTATCAGCAAGGTCTTGGTGACCTGTATCTTGTGCCAGCCTATCTCATCCTATTACTTAGAATGCCTAACCTCCTGGGAATGCAGCTCAGTAGGTCTCAGTCTCCCTTGACCCAACTCCTATTCAAGATGAAGTTGCTCTGGTTCAAACACCTCTGATAATAGTTCCATGAATCTTCCTAGGCTAAGAAATTTTACTTGCTAATTGAAGTTCATTTGTCAGTAAATGCCAAGAGTTTCATGCACTGCCTCTCCCAGACAGAATTTGCATCTTAATAGGATATACACCTGATGATGCAGGTCAACCGAGATGGTAATGGGACAATGGGCTTCATTGTGAAAAAGCTGATATAAATAGCTTCCATCAGCATGCCAGTGTTCTAAATGCTTTGACGGGTATCACGTCACCTAATTCTCACATAGCTCTTTTGAGTCAAATCCAGTTATCCAGTTTTACAGATAAGGAAACTGAGATATAGAGGGTTGAGTAACTCACCAAAGGCCACACAAACATTGATGCCTCTATTCAAACACAAGTTAGCATGGTTCTGGAGCCCACTTACTTAACCCCTCTACCACATGATGAGGAAAGAAAAAAAACACCAGGGCAAGTAGAAGTAAATGAAGACCAACCAAATGAAGACAGACAAAGGCTACTCACTCAGAGTTTGAAACTGCAAAGAAGGCAGCCACCATCTCTTGCTTTTTGGCAGAGACTCAAAGACTGGCAGAGGAGAGGGAAAGCTTTTCCACTCTAAGATAGAAAAAACAGAAGGTGTCAGATGTGTCCTGATTGGAGGCTGTTGGAATAGGGAAGCCGCACAGGCTAACTAGAGGGGGTAATTCCTGGATGATTAGTTGGAGGTACTATATTTGGCTTTCACTCCTTCTCTGTTTCTCTGCTTTCTTCCTAAATGGGAAGCAGGGGAAAAAAATTAGGGAAGCTGTGAGTCATTGACCAAGCCCTAGCCATTTTAGTCCAATTGTGACAGGGGTTATGATTTGACTTCCTGGATAATAATACAAGACAGTAGTCTGACTTCCTCCCAGTGAGATGAGTCTGAGTTATGGATAGCTGGCTTCTCTAGATAGTGTGTTGGTCTCCTGGGCTGGACACTGCAGACTGTGGGCCAGAGTTTTATTTTTATATTAATATATGACCAGGCCATTGTCAGTCTGTATTTTCAGTCTCTCAGGCAGAAGAGTCCTTTGGAATAATTCAGCTGCCCCTGTATGTTCAAAGGCATCCCCCTGGAGAAGAGTCCTCCCAGCTGATTGCAGATTCTTTTACTGGGTTCCAGCAGGTTTCTGAATTAGGTTGAAGACTTGGCTTCTAGCAAACAGATGTCTGTTGGGTCCCCTGGTGCTGATCTCTCCTATACTACTTAATATTTGCCTGGTGGCTGGGGAGCCAAGGGGTAGAGAAATGGTTGGTCTCATTCCTCATCATGCCCCCAGAGTAAACTTCAAAGACTGGCCAAGGTTACAGCTGCTAAAGAAGTGGAGAATGTTCTCTTTCCATTTCTCCGTCTAAGCTAAAAAAAAGCAAGTCTCAAAATTCCCTCCTAAGTGAGCTGAAGGTTAACCTACCTGGTCAACCTGCTTGATCCCATAGACGAGGTCCTTTACAGGAGCTAGTGACCTGCACAGAGGCCTGTCAACTTTAATTAAGCTAAAATAAGTTTCTGTGTTTAAGAGGACCAGGAACATCACAGAGAAACTCACATGTAAACAACACAGCTGGCTGTGCACCAGCTCTGTGCACATTATGATAAAAGCAGTAGAATAGGCTGGGTGTGGTGGGTCACACCTGTAATCCCAGCACTTTGGGAGGTCAAGGTGGGTGGATCACCTGAGGTCAGGAGTTTGAGACCAGCCTGGGCAACATGGAGAAACCTCATCTCTTCTAAAAATACAAAACTTAGCTGGGTGAGATCATGCCACTGCACACCAGCCTGGGCAACAAGAGAGAAACTCCATTTCAACAACAACAACAACAACAACAAAGCAGTAGACTATAATGCCCCCTCTCCCGCTTCAGAGGGTCCTACAGTCTTCTGTGTCAGGTACCATCTTGCATTGACTCTGGAGGATGATAAACAAATTCAGCGCTAAGCATGCAGTGAGTCTTGCCTTGAGAAATGCATGCGCCCCTAATGAGATATGGCTGAAGCTGTGATTGTATTGCCTCTTTCTAACACGCAGTTAATATGAAAGTGCTTGCTTTGGGGGACCTGAATCAATTATGTCCCTAAAACAACTGAAGGCATATGTTCTAAAGTTGTTAAAGGAGTAGAACACGGATTTAGAGGGATGCCAGCATTCCACCTATGAACGTTCTGTTGCAACAAATGCTGGCGACCAGTGTTGAAATTGGAATCTAATGTAAAATGAAACAGTGTCTCCCTTGGGCCACCAGGTGGGCACAAACAGAGAAGCAAATTCCCTGTTGGCCATCCAGGTGGAAGGCATGGAGTGGTTTGCCAAGGACTTTATCTTACTCCTCCTGGCAGGGAGCAATTGAAGACCAGAGAGAGTCACAGCAGAGCCGCTAGATTGGAGGAATATTTTGTCATGCACCACCCGGCAAGGGTAAGAGTGCATTTGGGTGAACCTGGGTTCTAGCCTCAGTTACTACTTAGAGAAGTGACTTTGAACAAACGGGTTTTCGCTCTGCGCTTCAGTGGAAATAATACCTGCATATCTACATAGGTATTATATGTGATATTCTTGCATATATTTGTCTATAGCCATATACAAGTGTTTTCAAGTAAAAATATTCCATGTATAAAGCTATGAGTATACTACTACTAGTATTATCCATTAAAACAATGGCTGGATATAAGAAAAAGTGAGTGGAAGATTAAGAAACGAATAAGCCTAAAATTTTGTGCGACATCATTATTATCAAGAAACATTCTTACCACTGTTACCAACTTCCCAACACAGAGTATGGAGAGAGAGATAAGACAGAATAGCATTTTCCTCCAGGAAGCCACAAATGTAACAGAGAAGGAAGAGTAAGGGATTGCTCACTGACAAGAACTGAATAGCCATCGAACAACCCTTCCAATAGCACATGTAAAATCACTCCCGAATTTGATATTCTATAGGCAAAATAAACTCAGTAGTCTTTCTGGGACCCTTGAAGGAATGTCTGGGTTCCTACATCTAAAAGAAAATATTTTGTCCAAAGTCATCGTTAAGATTCTTAAGCCTGAAGTGCCTGAATTCCTAATCACTGTAATACACACCTCTCAGTGGGTTTTCTGTTTCCCTTTGATACACGCGTAGGACTGAGCAATCAGCCCACGCAAGTCCTCGGCTCTTGTGGAACACTGACGAGGAAGACAAGGGACCACAATACAACCTGTAAGATTATGCTTTCTATTTTTAACGTAAAGATGCCCATTTTTACCTTAAAGTATTCTTTTGTGATTTATTTTGAAAGCAAGACATGCTCTATGGGGATGCGTAGAGGCAGTTGTATGTATGTGTGCTGGTATGTTGTCAGGAAGCATAATTCACATCCCCACTCAGGTTCCAGCAGTTGCCCTGAGACATCAACATTCTATTTAACCTAGTATGGCTAGTAATCCCGTCACTGGATTAACTGGATTTCTGCCTACAATCAAAAGAAACCCAAACAAGGCCTGCTTCAAAAGAAATGACACCACGTACATTTCTCTAAGCAAGGAAAAGGATGTTTTAATGACAAAGATGCCCCTTACATTAACAGTCAGTTAATTACCTACCACATTATTCTGGAAAATGCGGCCACATAGGCCACAAATAAAATGGTGCTTTATTCCATTTCCTGACTTCTAATATTCTGTCATAATATCTTATTGGGTTGCTATTATCCTCAGGATGAATATCTAAAATATCTGTACACACACGCACACTAAAATATACTATACACACACACACACAAATCTTTTTATGTTAAGAAAGAGTTAACCTTCAAATAGGAGATTATTTTTAAGAACAAAGAAGTTCAACACTTTTAGGGTGATCGAGGGAGCAAAGCCACTCAGAAATATTTTGCAGTGAACTGAAAAATAATAGCAGCAATGTGAGTTCTGGCAGAAGCAACCTTTAAATAAAGAGCATATCAAAATAAGGCCACGTCTATGCTTAAAAGCACCAAGACACGTGGGGATAGCTCCTCCTCAGAGGTGTTTAATTTTGGCTGTGTTCCTGGAGAAAGGGAACAATCAGGAGAGAGGTTCAGAGAACAGCCTTGTGCTAAACCCCTCAGGATATAGGACGACGCTGACAACAATCAGGAAAAGAAATCTGACAAGCACTTAAAAAAAATTATTCCTATCTAAAACACCTGGCACCAAGTAACCCATTCAAAAGAGCTTTAGAAGTGCTGAGGTTACATATCCCTCAGTTATCTGCAATCAACACTGAAACCCTGCCTGCCGATAACCATACTGTGTGTGTGATGTTAATTCACAGTGCAGGATAATGTGGCAGTCAGCACCAAATCATCTCTGTGTTGTTCATTAAACCCACCGAATTCTGATAAGGCATGTATAAATAGCCTCACGGATGCTTTTGTTCAGAGTTCAGGTTGATCTCCTTTTCCAAAAAAGCGGATTCTGATTTTGGTTAACTGGAACTAGTTAGTGCAGGTTTCCGGGAGACAGTTTTCATGGTCATTGGTGAGTTTAAGCCTGGGACAGTCAGGTAGATGAAACTTGTGTCTTTAACATGTAAACCAACTGTATTATAAGTAAACTGGCTGTAACTGCTTTCCTGAGTCAAAGCACAGGCCACCTCTACTCTGCATGGACTTGTATTAAGGGTAGTGGGCCAGCTCATTTGGACAATTACGGGTCATAATTACTCTCTGGTCAAGAGCACAATACTTTAGAATGGGTTTTATATGTTGTAGGTGAATTATTTTCATGACTTTTGTCACAAAGGGATACTTGAAACGATTCTCCCAAAAAAGTCAGGGAAAAGGAGAGACAAGTACCTGATAGACCTTTTTTTTTTTCTTTTTTTCCTGAATGATTCCTTAAAACTTCATATTCAGCCAGGTGCCGTAGCTCATGCCTGTAATCCCAGCACTTTGAGAGACCGAGGCAGGGGGATCACCTGAGGTCTGGAGTTCAAGACCAGCCTGGGCAACATGGCGAAACCCCATCTCTACTAAAAATACAAAAATTAGCTGGGCATGGTGGCATGCGCCTGTGATCCCAACTCTTTGGGAGGATGAGGAAGGAGAATCGCTTGAACCTGGGAGGCGGAGGTTGCAGTGAGTCGAGATCACGCCACTGCACTCTATCCTGGGCAACAGAGTGAGACTCTGTCTTAAAAAAATTGATATTCAAGGAATCATCTATGAATAAAAATGATTGTGTAGGGAGCCGAGCATCTTGGGGAGACAACTGTTTTGAATCCTGGCCCTACCCAAATACTTGCCTATCGAGAAATATCCATGACAAATTCCTCACTATTGTGCCCAAGCTGCAGCCCCCACTAGCCAGCCACCTGACCCACAGTGCCGAATGCCTAATTCCCACATGACACAGTAATGGCCTTAATTGGTTCTACACCTGTCAGAAATATGTTTGAAACAACAGGATTTTATTTCCACTGACTTTGCCTGTGACAGAGTGAACAAGTGATGAATGTTGGAATGCCTCTCAAACGGATAGCACAGGACAAAAAAGCAAAGCGCACAAAAAGAATTTCTAAGCCTTATATCTCAGTGTTGCCTTAAGGTGTATTTAATCATTCTTACATAGTCCAGTTGCCTCCAAGATCACCAGGTGTCACCTACCCTCATGTGAGCCACTTGGTCTCTGTGGCAGCATCACCACTACCCATTCCCACCTCCGCTAAATGTCACTGTCTTGTTCTTACAACACCAAAAAGATAGAGAGAGAGAGAGAGAGAGTGTGTGTGTGTGTGTGTGTGTGTGTGTGTGTGTGTGTATCTCAGCAATAAGCTTGTAAATGTCCATTTTTCTGAAGACTTGATTCATCAAATAGGTAAAAGTATCGGGCTGGTTTTTATTCTCTAGCTTCCATTGCTGAGCAAGATTTGCTCTGTTCTGTATCAAACATCCATCATCCTACCTTCTGAGAGTGAATATTTTCCTTTGTTGTGGAATATAAGCCCAATGCACAGATGAACACCATCATGTCATGTGGAGAGGGATGCCATTCATAAAAGGTGCGGCTCTTTTAAAATGATTTTTCGATTTCATGTTATTTGGTTACCTTTTTATGAGCTCAGCTTCTATAGAGAGACAAGGCAGCAAGTCAAAGGGGAAAGAGCCCTGAATTATCAGCCAGGGGCCATTGGTTTCAGTCCTGGCTCTGGCACTAATGAGGATGTGACCATGGACACATCGTTTAATCTTTCTGGGTCCCAGTTCCCTCGTCTCTTAAATCAAGGGGGTGCACCAGGGATACCCTGTGGTCCCTCCCAGCTCTACCAATCCTAAATCATTCATTGTCGAGCTCCCAATTTATAATTACTATAGCAAGTATGCATTTTGTTGTTGTGTTGTTTCTTCCTGGAGGGCATTAGTCATAGTCTCAGCTTCAAATTCAACCTTATGCTCCCTAAACGCAAAGATAACCATACTGTGTAGAGGAGAATGAATCTAGAGAGATGGATCTTTAAGCTATTCTATAAGGGTTTAGTTTTTATTTTAATTATGACTATAGTCTAAATATCCCAACAGTAGGAATCATTTAGTATGTTTGCCATTTTTGAACTCTGAAGACTCAAACTAGTTTACAGTTATAGGAGTCGCAGTATTTTACAAAATTAAATAGAAAACATCTTCCAAGGTAGATCAATAATTTTCCCTAGGCTGAGATTAGATCATGATTTTATGTTTTTTCTTTTTTTTAGAAAATGCTTCAAGGTTTTCTTAATCTCTCTTTTGAGCTTTAAGTTATATAATAGTCATAAATAAATGTGTATTTTATATCCCATAATTATTTTTCGTAAGTATTTTGCCTTGGATTTTAAAAGGATGTTTAGGGTGAGAAGAATATGCTATATTTAATGATTGGTAGAGCAATACATAGCAATGTGTGGCTAGCTCCTCTTGACCAACCCCAATTAGAAGGAGCTCTCATTCTAGACAAGGGTTAAATTATATTGAATATTAATTCAGTTATCGGTACCTGTACTGAGGGTTAATAGTGGCTGCAAAGGGCCGATCAGACAGCAAAATCAAGTTTAGATTTCATCTCATGTAGCAGAAAGATCAGCTTTAGATCACAATTCTTTTTCTTGCCGACTCTGTGATCTTAGGCAGATTACCTCACCTCTCTGGTCCTCATGTTCTCATTTATGAAATGGAGAGACAAGGGTAGCTAGAGAAGATGTCTTTGTGGTAAACTAGTTTGCTTGGGCTACCATAACAAAATACCATAGGCTGGATGGCTTAAACCATAGAGATTAATTTCCTCACCATTCTGGAGGCAGGAAGTCTGAGATCAAGGTGTCAGTAGGGTTGGTTTCTTCTTTTTGTTGTTGTCTTTTTGAGACAGAGTCTTGCTCTGTCACCCAGGCTGGAGTGCAGTGGTGCAATCTTGGCTCACTGCAACTTCCGCCTCCTGTGTTCAAGCAATTCTCCTGCCTTAGTCTCCCAAGTAGCTGAGACTACAGGCACCCACCACCACGCCTGGATAATTTTTGTATTTTTAGTAGAGACAGGGTTTTGCCATGTTGGCCAGGCTGGTCTCGAGCTCCTGACCTCAGGTGATCCACTTGCCTTGGCCTCACAATGTGCTGGGATTACAGGCGTGAGCCACTGCGCCCGGCCCCAGTTGGTCTCTTCTGCAGCCTCTCTTCTTGGCTTGCAAATGGTTGCCTTCTCCCTATGTCTTGAAATATTCTTCCCTCTGTGCTTGTCTATGTTCTCATTGACTCTTAAGATGGCACCAGTCATACTGGATTAGGGCCCACCCTAAAGGCCTCAATTTATGACCTCTCAGAAGAGTGTATTTCTAAATACATCACATTCTGAGGTACTGAGGGTTAAGACTTCAACGTATGAATTTTGAGGTGACACAATCCAGCTCATAAAAGGTAGGTTCCCCAGGAAACAGTCTGAGATGACTATTTGCATGCAGAAGAGTTACTGTGTGGGGAAAGGAAGGTCTCAGCACAAAACCAATAAAGGGGTGAGGGAGGCAGGATTTGTCATGGAAGAACTTGAAACACCATACACATTTGACCTTTGAACAGTGCGGGAGTTAAGGTCACTGACTCCCTGCACAATTGAAAATCCATGTATAATTTTTGACTCTCCAAAGGCTATTAATAGCCTACTATTGACCAGAAGCCTTACCAATAACATAAACAGTGGATTGACACATATTTTATGTTTTATGTATTATACAGTATATTCTAACAATAAAGTTAGCTAGAGAAAAGAAAATGTTACTAAGCCAATCCTAAGGAAGGGAAAAATATTCACTCTTCTTTAAGTGGAAGTGGATCATCATAAAGGTCTTCATCCTCATAATCTTCACATTGAGTAGACTGAGGATGCGGAAGAGGAAGAGATAGGTTGGCCTGCTGCCTCTGGGGTGGCAGAGAAGGAAGAAAATCTGTGTATAAGTGGACCCACATGTTACAGAGTCATCAATGGGCTCACTGTCTAGTGTGCATAGAAGCCACTATCCTGGATGGCATAGGCTTTTGAGAAAAGATAAGCTTTACTGCAAGTTGACTGGCAAGAAGACAGGAAGAAACACTCAAATCTGTCTCCCAGAGCTGAGGTTTGGGTTAGGTTTTATAAGCATAAGGTAATGAGGTGTGATCTCTGATTGGATCTTGCAATGAGTTGATGCTGGGAATCATGATCTGACTGGATCCTGCCATGGGGTGATGCCAGGACTCCATCTGATTGGATCCTGGATTCTGTCATGTGATGTCTTTTTTTTTTTTTTGAGATGGAGTTTTGCTCTTGTTGCCCAGGCTGGAGTGCAATGGCACCATCTCAGCTCGCTGCAACCTCCGCCTCCCGGGTTCAAGTGATTCTCATGCCTCAGCCTCCCGAGTGGCTGGGATTACAGGCATGAGCCACCACGCCTGGCTAATTTTGTATTTTTAGTAGAGATGGGGTTTCTCCATGTTGATCAGGCTGGTCTCTAACTCCCAACCTCAGGTGATCCACCTGCCTTGGTCTCCCAAAGTGCTGGGATTACAGGCATGAGCCACCACGCCCAGCTGCCTACTTCTTAATTCAGTCCAAATTCCTGGGTCTGAGCACTTTATTTCCACCCATGGTTGCATGCCTCATTGATCTGGGCATGCTCAGGTTATGTGACCGTCAATGTGGAGATCTGTGAAAACTGAAAAACAGCTCACACCTTAGTTACATTAAATTTGAACCAGATTAGTCTGGTGCAGTTATTCATGCAGCTCAAACCAGTGTTGTTCAAGGGTCAACTGTAGTCTTAAGAGGCCTCTATGACCCTTCAGAGACCCCTGGAGCTAGGATGGCATTTTAGAGTTGCCCCTGATTGAGGCAAGAGGGAATGGATCAGTGCAGCTCAACACTAACCAGGTGTACCCCGGGGAGGAGAGAAGGAAGCATATCCTTTAGCCAGGAGACTTTGTGCAGCTGAAGGAGACTCCCACGTAATGGCTCTGCTGGGAGCCTTTGGCCCGGCAGCTGGGGAGTTAAGTGCCTTGTCTTGAAGAGGAAACTAAGCAGAGCTGGACCCCCTCCCCCCCAGTCTCCACTGGAGAAGCGAATGTCAATTTCACAGTTTCATAGGATTTTTATAAGGACTGGCTGAGAGAAGCAAGTGTACTAATACTTAGGAGCTGGGATGTAGTGGGAGCTCTATTGATTTTAATTCCCCTGCACAGCCCCACTCTGCGCATGCCCACTAAGGCCTTCATTACAGCGTGGTCCTTAAGCAGTCAGTGATCCAGGGCTCCCCGACAACTGTATTTCCGCTTAATGTATCTCCTATGAAAAGGAGCAGGGTCCAGGAGCGCTGGTTTTCAGGTGCTTTCCAATGTTGATATTTAACTTCCTTGCCCTCTGACCCCTTCCTCTGTCATCCAGCTCACTCTAATCAGCAACACGGAAAGCATCTGAACTCTTGATAAACATAGCTCTTTAGAGGGCCGCATGCTGCTTCACTACAAAGCTCTGTAATTTTCAGGGTGCTTTTTTTTCTATATTCCTTATTATTTTTAAATACCCTGCATTTAAAGTTTCACATCTGCAGAGCCCCAGAGAGGAGCACGTGGAACATAATGCACAGTGTGCTGTGGAAGAAAACAAAAGACGAGTGGGTGGTTTCAGACAAAGCGGTTGCCTTGTACCTCTGACACAAGGCTTTTGTTGTTCTTGTTGATCAGTGCAAATGAAAGACCATTTGGGAGAGCCAGGTGCTTCTCCACACTGTAAAATAATGCTTCATGGCAGTGAGTCCTTGGGTTGAGGAACAGTTAGGCTTAGAGGAGAGAAATTAAATGGCAGCCCATTGTTACAGAAAATTGTAACTAGCAATGAATGGATAGGCAGAAAGAAAGAATTTTAAGTAAAGACAGGCAGCGTGTGGAGGTGAAAGAAACACATAGTATCTGTCTTGTCTGCAGCTTTTCCTAATGGAGACTAGCAGAAAATAAATGGGAATTTGCCTGGTATATTTGTTCTCCCAAGGACAAAACCTCTTGTGGCTTGTCCTTTAGTACCTCCTGTGGGTGGATCCTATCTCCAGGTATAAACTCACATCTACCAGGCCAGGAAGGATAAAAAAGCTAAATGTTTCCAGCCATGAAATGAAACCATTCATTCTGACCTCAAGAGAACCTTCTGAGTGTTTTTGTGGGGGGCGGTGTGAAACAGGTTCATAGTCTGCATCACGGCTAGAGAGGAGAAAAGGTATTCCTTAGAAAGTGGGTCAGAGATCAGAGAGATCCCATGGGGAGCATTTGGTATTGGGCTGCTTTTTCCTTTCTGATGTTGTTCGTTCTTTAATTCTTCATTTACTGAGTGTCTTCTATCTTAACTTCGGCTGCTATAACAAAACACCGCAGATGAGGTGGCTTAAACAGACATGTATTTCTCATTGTTCTGGAGGATGGAATGCTGCGAGGGCAGGGTCCCAGCCAGTCAGATTCCTGATGAGGGCTCCCTTCCTGGCTTATAGATGGCTGCCTTCTTGCTGTGTCCTCTCAGCAAGGGGGCATGGGGAGATGGGGAGAGAGGGAGAGGAAGCTCTCTGGTGCCTTGTATGTCTGTTCTCATGCTGCTAATAAAGACATACCAAGGACTGGGTAATTTATAAGGAAAGAGGTTTAATTGACTCACCGTTCTGCAGGGCAAGGTAGGCCTCAGCAAACTTACAGTCATGGTGAAAGGGGAAGCAAACACACCTTATATGGTGACAGGCAAGAGAGCTTGGTTCAGGGGAACTCCCCTTTATAAAACGGTCAGATCTCGTGAGACTTAACTATCACAAGAACAGCACAGGAAGACCTGGATTCAATTACCTGCCACCAAGTCCCTCCCATGACACATGGGAATTACAGGGGCTACAATTCCAGATGAGATCTGGGTGGAGACACAGCCAAACCATATAATGCCTCTTCTTATAAGGGCACTATCTCATTATGAAGGCTCCCTCTTCCTGACCTCATTTAAAACCTAATCACCTCTCAAAGGCCCCATCTCCAAATATCATTGCACGGGGAGTTAGGGTTTTAACATATCTATTTGAGGATGCACAACTCAGTCCACAGCACCTTATATGCCAGAGAGAGACAGACAAAGAGACGAAGGGAGACAGAGTCACACACAGAGAGAGGAGATCTGGTCTCTGCTTTCCAGGATGAGATGAGAGAGGGGTGACCTAGTCAGGGAAGTCAAAGAGGTCTTTCTCTGCAGAAGTGATGACTGAGCCAGGGTCTGAGTGATGAGCTGAAGTCATCTGTGAAAGAGGATTTGCGGCAGAGAACACTGCGAGCAGAGGCCCTACAGCAGGAGGCAGACAAGTTCAAGGAGGTCACTATGAAGGAGGTCACTGCTGGAGGAGAAAGAGCTTGGGGAAGCTCAATGGTCAGGGTGGGTCAGACCAGACAGGGCCTTGCCAGCCCTAGGAGGAGCTGTGGTCGCACCCAATGCCAAGTGAACCCTCAGAAGGGATTTACACAAAGTATAATCAAGTGCAGCATGATCATAGTGACAATTTGAGAAGATTGTCTTGGCCCTGGGGTGAAGGATAGACTGGAAAGTGGCAGGAATAGAAGCAGATGGAAAACTGGGAGCCATTGTGTGATCCCAGCTGGAGAGACCATGGCTTGGACTAATTGGTGATGTAGGAATGAGCATGTGTCAGCTGATATAAGAGTGATAAGGGGGGAAAGTCAACAGGATTCAGCAATAGGTTAGATACTGGCAACAAAGGAGAGGGAATTCATGAATTCCATTATCCTCAACACCTGGGAGAAGCATCTGGCCCAGATGTATGCATAGGACATTTCAGATCTCATACTCCTCACCCTTCACCTGAGCCACCCAGGTATGCCTCCTGTATCAGCAGAGAGCATGCGTTCCTGAGCCTTGGTGGGTCTTTGGCGTGTTTGCACTCTGATCTGATTGTGTCCTTCTGTTCTTTAATGACAGAGGTTGACCCCTGCCATCTCTGTTTCCCAGGCCTACTTCCAGCTGTGTTTGACCATTGGGAGGCACTGTCAAGAGAGTACAGGGCAGAGAAAAGAGAGGAACCATCTCTTTCTTTTTGTATCAGTCAGTTTGCAGCAGCTCTGTCCTCTGTGACTCCAGCTCCTCCTGCACAGGTCAGTCTTTGCTTCCAGCCTCCCTGTGGTGACCCTGGCTGATGGTCCCAGGTGCATTACTTCTCCCAGTGGTCCCTCCATCCTTCTGAGTTATCTCACTCTACCCTATTTGGCTTTTCAGCTCTTCCATCGTCTATGTAAATATTTCCCTCAATTAAGTTCACTGTGTTTGCCTGGATTGACCTTGTCTCATACAGTTTTCAAATTCATTAACTCCAGAAATGCACCCCTTCCAACCACATTGCAATGCCTGAAACTCATGTATTTCCCTCTACAGTGACATATAAGGTGTAAGATGCAAATAATCCTAGAGATGTTACAAATAGCATTATACATAGAACATGGTTTTTCCTCTAGAAAGCAGAGTGTATGTATTTGGTACAGGAAAAGAAGGGCATGATGCTGTGGGGTGGAGTTCCAGGGGCATTAAAAAGAGTTACAAAGAGAAAGTCAAGTCACGAAGGGGTTAGAAAAAGAAAGGGAAATATACTAAAGATCAACTTCAAAAATTTGCCAAGGGAAAGCCATAGGGTGACACCGTGGTTTTTTTACAGATACATGAAAGAATGCCACCCAGAGGATAGAGGTAAGTCACCCCAAAGGATTATGAACAATTAGGCAACCAAGAGGAAAATCTTAAGAGGAATCACTGTAAAGCTGCATTAGCAGAGAGAAACCTGGGAGGCCAGAAAGTCTTTTTTTTTTTTTAACTTCATCCATGGTAAAGTTAAAATAATGTCCATCTAAAGTCTATGGTAAGGTGTGATGGCTGTTCAGTCTCCGTTCTGTATTGAATACCATTTACAAAAAGGAACCGTGTCTGTATAATCTACACATCATTGGTAAAAACGTGCCTGATGTACTAGGGCAGTAAATAAGATACTGGCAAACCCAAGTTATGTTTCTTTTTCAGAATGGGACCCTTTTTATACTCGTGAGGATAATTCTCACGTAAAACAAAATTGGATTTGCTCTGTTATAAACATAACCTATACATTAACATTTTGTGCTGTGAATGACCTAGGTTGTGGCTTTGGTAAATAGCTACATTTTTTGGTATATTGCATACCCTGTACCATTTAGGACATTGAACAAGTTGAAATCTACAGCCCCTTCACTTTCTCTTATGTGTACAACACATGCACACACACACATGCACTCACACTCACAAACTCCTGCATCCCTCTTGCAAACACTCTTAAGATTTTAAAGTGAAGTTCAGTAAACTACAAAGAATGTCCTGCACATCAGAAGAAGAGCCTCTTCGGGCTCTTCACAGTTGCCCAGGCCCTAATTGTTTCTGTTCCAGACTTGCCAGGATTTAGGTGACTGTATGCAGTCTTTTCTCTGGATAGATACGTATATTACATATGTATGTATTTTCCTATGTGTATATATAATACTTTACTGAACTTCAATAATAGCCTGCATTTTTTCCACATTTTAAAATTTTTTTTTATTATACTTTAAGTTTTAGGGTACATGTGCACATTGTGCAGGTTAGTTACATATGTATACATGTGACATGCTGGTGTGCTGCACCCACTAACTCGTCATCTAGCATTAGGTATATCTCCCAGTGCTATCCCTCCTCCCTCCCCCCACCACATCACAGTCCCCAGAGTGTGATATTCCGCTTCCTGTGTCCATGTGTTCTCATTGTTCACTTCCCACCTATGAGTGACAATATCTGGTGTTTGGTTTTTTGTTCTTGTGATAGTTTACTGAGAATGATGATTTCCAATTTCATCCATGTCCCTACAAAGGACATGAACTCATCATTTTTTATGGCTGCATAGTATTCCATGGTGTATATGTGCCACATTTTCTTAATCCAGTCTATCATTCTTGGACATTTGGGTTGGTTCCAAGTCTTTGCTATTGTGAATAATGCCGCAATAAACATACGTGTGCGTGTGTCTTTATAGCAGCATGATTTATAATCCTTTGGGTATATACCCAGTAATGGGATGGCTGGGTCAAATGGTATTTCTAGTTCTAGATCCCTGAGGAGTCGCCACGCTGACTTCCACAATGGTTGAACTAGTTTACAGTCCCACCAACAGTGTAAAAGTGTTCCTGTTTCTCCACATCCTCTCCAACACCTGTTGTTTCCTGACTTTTTAATGATTGCCATTCTAACTGGTGTGAGATGGTATCTCATTGTGGTTTTGATTTGCATTTCTCTGATGGCCAGTTATGATGAGCATTTTTTCATGTGTCTTTTGGCTGCATAAATGTCTTCTTTTGAGAAGTGTCTGTTCATGTCCTTCGCCCACTTTTTGATGGGGTTGTTTGTTTTTTTCTTGTAAATTTGTTTGAGTTCATTGTAGATTCTGGATATTAGCCCTTTGTCAGATGAGTAGGTTGCGAAAATTTTCTCCCATTTTGTAGGTTGCCTGTTCACTCTGATGGTAGTTTCTTTTGCTGTGCAGAAGCTCTTTAGTTTAATGAGATCCCATTTGTCAATTTTGTCTTTTGTTGCCATTGCTTTTGGTGTTTTGGACATGAAGTCCTTGCCCATGCCTATGTCCTGAATGGTAATGCCTAGGTTTTCTTCTAGGGTTTTTATGGTTTTAGGTCTAACGTTTAAGTCTTTAATCCATCTTGAATTGATTTTTGTATAAGGTGTAAGGAAGGGATCCAGTTTCAGCTTTCTACATATGGCTAGCCAGTTTTCCCAGCACCATTTATTAAATAGGGAATCCTTTCCCCATTGCTGGTTTTTCTCAGGTTTCTCAAAGATCAGATAGTTGTGGATATGTGGCGTTATTTCTGAGGGCTCTTTTCTGTTCCATTGATCTATATCTCTGTTTTGGTACCAGTACCATGCTGTTTTGGTTACTGTAGCCTTGCAGTAAAGTTTGAAGTCAGGTAGTGTGATGCCTCCAGCTTTGTTCTTTTGGCTTAGGATTGCCTTGGCGATGCGAGCTCTTTTTTGGTTCCATATGAACTTTAAAATAGTTTTTTCCAATTCTGTGAAGAAAGGCATTGGTAGCTTGATGGGGATGGCATTGAATCTGTAAATTACCTTGGGCAGTATTGCCATTTTCACAATATTGATTCTTCCTGCCCATGAGCATGGAATGTTCTTCCATTTGTTTGTATCCTCTTTTATTTCCTTGAGCAGTGGTTTGTAGTTCTCCTTGAAGAGGTCCTTCACATCCCTTGTAAGTTGGATTCCTAGGTATTTTATTCTCTTTGAAGCAATTGTGAATGGGAGTTCGCTCATGATTTGGCTCTCTGTTTGTCTGTTGTTGGTGTATAAGAATGCTTGTGATTTTTGTACATTGATTTTGTATCCTGAGACTTTGCTGAAGTTGCTTATCAGCTTAAGGAGATTTTGGGCTGAGACAATGGGGTTTTCTAGATATACAATCATGTCGTCTGCAAACAGGGACAATTTGACTTCCTCTTTTCCTAATTGAATACCCTTTATTTCCTTCTCCTGCCTAATTGCCCTGGCCAGAACTTCCAACACTATGTTGAATAGGAGTGGTGAGAGAGGGCATCCCTGTCTTGTGCCAGTTTTCAAAGGGAATGCTTCCAGTTTTTGTCCATTCAGTCTGATATTGGCTGTGGGTTTGTCATAGATAGCTCTTATTATTTTGAAATGCGTCCCATCAATACCTAATTTATTGAGAGTTTTTAGCATGAAGGGTTGTTGAATTTTGTCAAAGGCTTTTTCTGCATCTATTGAGATAATCATGTGTTTTTTGTCTTTGGTTCTGTTTATATGCTGGATTACATTTATTGATTTGCGTATATTGAACCAGCCTTGCATCCCAGGGATGAAGCCCACTTGATCATGGTGGATAAGCTTTTTGATGTGCTGCTGGATTCGTTTTGCCAGTATTTTATTGAGGACTTTTGCATCAATGTTCATCAAGGATATTGGCCTAAAATTCTCTTTTTTTGTTGTGTCTCTGCCCGGCTTTGGTATCAGAATGATGCTGGCCTCATAAAATGAGTTAGGGAGGATTCCCTCTTTTTCTATTGATTGGAATAGTTTCAGAAGGAATGGTACCAGTTCCTCCTTGTACCTCTGGTAGAATTCGGCTGTGAATCCATCTGGTCCTGGACTCTTTTTGCTTGGTAAACTATTGATTATTGCCACAATTTCAGCTCCTGTTATTGGTCTATTCAGAGATTCAACTTCTTCGTGGTTTAGTCTTGGGAGGGTGTATGTGTCGAGGAAATTTATCCATTTCTTCTAGATTTTCTAGTTATTTGCCTAGAGGGGTTTATAGTATTCTCTGATGGTAGTTTATATTTCACTGGGCACATGTGACTGAGCTTATTAAATGCAGCTAGTCCGAACAGACTGTGCTAAAATTATAAAATGTACACTGAATTTCCAAGACATAGCATAAGAATAATATAAGAAGATCTCATTAATAATTTTTATATTAATATTGAAGTGATCATATTTTAGATATATTACTTTAGAATTAATTTTAACTATTTCTTTTAAATGTTTTATGTGGCTACTAGAAGATTTAAAAATACATGTGTTGCTGGCATTTACACTTTTCATTGAGGGCACAGAGCGGGCAAATTTAAATAACCACCTGTCTTATAACAAACTGTAGTAAGTGTCATAAAATTCAAATCTCCTTCCTTCATCAGTATTAAGCATGTCTGACCTATGTCACTGGTGATGTGAAGAATTCGATGTTTTCTCCAGAATCATAAAGTGTTGCAAAATAAAATGAGATTGGTAGCCATCTGGTTTTGAATCTCATACTCATTAGCCATGTGACCATAGGCAAGTTATTAAACTCTCTTAATCTTAATTTCCTCATTAGTTAAACATCCCACAGAATGTTACAAGGGTTCTGGATAATCGATGTAAAGTGCCTAGCACAGCGTTTGACATATACTAGCTGTTCAAAACACCACCAAAGGTTTTGTTTTAATCATGTATGTATGGGCACAGGTGGGTAAGATAGTGCTGATGTTGCTGTGAGTGTCACCATATTGACTTAAGCACCAGCAGTGATCCTAATACATGGTAGAAATAATACACTGAAACAGACAGAAGGAAAGACATTATTATTTGGAAAGGGCCTTCTTAACCCTTTGATAATTGTAAGTCATCTACATCTCCAGTGCATTTAAATGGCCTATCTGAGAATTGTAAGGTAGGATTCATAGCAAATAACAAGAAAATGAGCAAAGCCAAATTCCCTTCACGCACATGTGGACTGCTGTGCACCGCCTGCTGCATTCTCCCCATGTGACTATGGCCTCCACAACCTTAGCCATGATTTTTACTAAGCAGCTCTAGGAGTATAAAAATTTGCACTAAAATCGTTATTGAATGCAAATTTACCATTTGATGAAGCTTTAGAAGTCCCTGATGACTCCCTGTACTTCTGTAGTGTATATGGCAAAGCTGACTGTGCAGGGCTTGAGGCTGGCTTACCAACCAATTAGTCTCAGTAAAAGAGGAAATTTGGAATGAGGGCTCAATGTCTCGAAATCCTCAATCTGGCTGAAATCTATTATGGCTCTGGACAGGCTTCCCAAACACAGGTCAGCTTCCCAAGTATAGCTGCCCCATAATAGTACCCTGTAGTCAACTCGAAAAGAGAACTTGACTCTGAATTCATTCTTTCTAAGGTGAGTACTCCTCCTCTTCCTTTTTCTTTCCCAAAAGGAAATACAGGTAAGCATAGATCAAATGCAGGCATACAAAAACATACAGCTTATTGTTGTTTGAAATGTAGAATGTAAGTTTTCATCTTGTGACAATATTATGGATGGCCCTTGAAATATAATGAACTATTACTAACGGATTACCAACCATCTAATGTTTCCATTGGAAAATAAGTCCAGAATGTGACTTTAGTCCAGCTTTCTACCTGGCAGGATGAGGGGTAATATTCTCAGATCCATCCTACCCTGTCTTTGATTCACTCACCGGTTCCCTCCACTTGTAAGGATGTGGCAATCAGGGAGCACTTTTACACTGCTGGTGTGAATGCAAACTAGTACAGCCACTATGGAAAACAGTATGGAGATTCCTTAAAGAAATAAAAGTAGAACTACCATTTGATCCACCAATCTCACTACTGGGTATCTACCCAGAGGGGAAAAAAAAATCATTATTTGAAAAAGATACTTGTACACGCATGTTTATAGCAGCATAAGTCACAATTGCAAAATTGTGGAACCAACCCAAATGCCCATCAATGAGTGGATAAAAAACTCTGATATATATATACAATGGAATACTACTCAGCCATAAAAAGGAATGAATTAACAGCATTTTCAGTGACCTGGATGAGATTGGATACTATTATTCTAAGGGAAGTAACTCAGCAATGGAAAACTAAACATCGTATGTTCTCACTGATATGTGGGAGCTAAGCTATGAGGATGCAAAGGCATAAGAATGATACAATGGACTTTGGAAACTTAGGGGGCAAGAGTGGGAGGGGGGTGACAGATAAAAGATATTAAATATGGTACAGGGTATACTGCTCAGGTGATGGGTGCACCAGGCTCTCACAAATATCCACTAAAGAACTTATGTAATCAAATATTACTGATACCCCAATAACTTATGGAAAAATAAAATTTTTAAAAATTTCCTCTTCTATTGGAAAAAAAAAGAATTTTTCAGTCTCTTCTCCGTCTACCAGACCCATGACTATTTGCCCTCTCCCCTTTCCAGCCACACTCTGACCCAACCCCGGGAGAAGACTAGTGGATATGACTGCTGAGCACTCCAGGACATTTATTGGGCTGGGCTTAAGCTCCTATGTGTTGGAAAGTACATAGTCATGCTCCATTTCCTTTCTTCACTTCCTTCATTCAACAAATACATGTTAAGTACTTCAGTTGCTGAGACAGAGCAGTAAACAAAATAGAACAAAATCCCTTTCTTCATGGAGTTTACATTTTAGTCCTGAGTGATCTTCAATAAACAAGAGAATTAAGACATTAAGTATCTTGGATTTTGATGAGTGCTAAGGAGAAAAATAAGGAAGAGAAATGGAATGGGGAATTGTAGGTGTTGTATTTTAAGGTGGGACAGATGGGGACAACACCACTGAGAAGGTGGCATTATGGCCACTCACCTCAGCCTCCCAAAGTGCTGGGATTAGAGGTGGGAGCCACTGTGCCCAGTCTCAATCCTCCCTTTCCTTTGTACATATCTGAGATCCTCCCACCCCACCCCTTGCCCAGGACCCTTCCTGGCTGGGTGTCTTCTAGGACGGACAGTGGTGGCAGCAGCGTCAGTAGAGACAGAGAACAAGGGGTGAAATTTGGGAAGGTAAGCCTTTCTTTTTCCCCCAGGGCCTAGGTGCAGGTTCAGCCCCCCTGCTCTCACTTTCTCCTTGACTTCATTTCTTCATAAGACTGGCTAGAGAGTGATGCGATACCAGGATTAAATTCTGCAAGGAAAATGCAAGCTTTTAGCTTCAATTCCATCACTTACCAGAAGGCTCCAACCCTACCAAGGTGACCAATCAACACTGCTGTTGGTTGCCTAGAATTCCCTTGAGAACTTCCCCCAGTGGAGAGGTTATTAGGACAAGATTTTAGAATTGCTGGATTTCCAGCTGTAGTCACTCTAAAATAGCACGAAAACAACACACACACCCTCTGGCAACACTTTTCTCTCCATCTCCACTAATCCCCTTGTGTAGATGGTGGGCAGATTCTCCACATAAAACTGTGAATTATGACTTCTGCAGACAGGCTGTGTTTCTGGCTCAATGAAGAGCCAAAGGGATAGTTATGCACAATTAGTGATGAATAATCCTAATCGCTTACATATATTGATCATTTACTATGATGTCTAAGAAATGTTTGTGTAGTGTTGTATCAATCTTCCCAATCATTCTTCAGCATATGTGCTATAATTATCCACTTTTTAAATAGGGTGAGAGTGAAGCATGAAGAGGTTAAGTAATTTGCAGAGAGTAGTGGCAGATCCAAGACTCTCTCCTGAGCAGCCCGGCTCCGGAGCGTTCATGCTGTCCTTTCTAGCGACCTCACCGTGTCTCCCTTGGAAAACAGGAATGAGGGGACTTAGAAAGGAAGGTTCTCATTCCTGAAGTTACCCACACAAGCTTTGACCCCTCACAGTTTCTACTGCATTGGTCCTTTCCCTCCTCTGTCTTCCCTTCCTCTTCCCATTCCTTCCCTTTTATTTCCTTTCACTTCCAGGTCAGATACGGAGCCTACCTCCCTGCCCTCCACAGCCTACCTCCCTGCCCTCCACAGCCGTATGCTCCGTCCAGCCAAGGACTATCTTTCTCAGGCTTGCCATGGGGCAGTAACTATTTCTAAGGCAGCACTGAAACTTCAGGAAGTCTAAGGCATTTTTTTTTTTTAAAGCTAGGAACAAAGATAAAGGGACAGAATACGAAGACCTGGTCCTCTGGTCCTTCCTCCTCCCCACCTTCTCTTTTCTTTTATTAAAACCTCTGGAGAATGACATGGTTGCCATGTAAATGTTCAGGAAGTGGCTTCCATCCTAGCCCCGTGAATGCCATAGGATCTCTGGAGGAGAGGGAAGAGTCAGATAGAAGTCTTGAAGCCATCTGGGGAGAAAGAAAGGCTTACCTTCCCAAATTTCAGCCCTCGTTTTCTGTCTCTACTGACGCTGCTGCCACCACTGTCCTCCTAGAAGACACCCAGCCAGGAAGGATCCTGGGCAAGGGGTAGGGTGGGAGGATCTCAGAAGGATCTCTTTTCCTACTTACGAAGGAAAGAGAGGATAGAGACTGGGCACAGTGGCTCCCACCTCTAATCCCAGCACTTTGGGAGGCCGAGGTGAGTGGATCACTTGAGGTCAGGAGCTCAAGACCAGCCTGGCCAACATGGCAAAACCCGTCTCTACTAAAACTACAAAAATTGGCCAGGCATGGTGGTGTGGGCCTGTAATCCCAGACTTGGAAGGCTGAGGCAGGAGAATCGCTTGAACCCAGGAGACGGAGGTTGCAGTGAGCCAAGATTGCGCCACTGCACTCCAGCCTGGGCGACATAGGGAGACTGTGTCTCAAAAAAAAAAAAAAAAAAAAGGGCAAGGGGAAGATAGAGATTCTAAGAAATTGCTGATGGCGGGGTGGGATTCCTGTACTCGCTGATCATTTCTCATCATGCTTCAAATGGAAGAAACCTGAGGCTGTGTGTTCTGTGAAGGTCCATTCTATGTAATGTGTATTCTGTGGACCTGCAGAAACACAAAGAACAAAACGGGGCCTCACCTGCAGGGATCTCACCATCTAGATAAGCCTCAGAATAAGTTGCCTTAAAAATAGTTAACACTCACATTTGTTGAGATTTGTGAGAGGTGAATTGAGAAGTGTTGATTTAAGTGTAATGTATCAAAGTGACACTTGGTTCAACACGCAAGAGTGTGGCTCAAAGTTTGAGGCTTGATGCTATGCATCTTCGGTGTTTGTTTTCTCATTAAAAAGTGCAAGTAGAAGTATAACATGTTAGGTTATTTTATTTGCATACAAAAAATAACTTCCTCTCTCCCATCCTTTGCTCGCTACCTTTTGCCTCCAATGCCTCTGTGTAAAGTGTAAACCACTTCCAACACTTCCAAGCAAGTTAAACTTGAAGACCTACTTAGGTTCTCAGGCTCATCACCAAGGATTTAAAGCCTCTCTATTCATTCGATGACAATGGTTTCCATGGCAATTACCGCAACACATGACATCCCCTGCAGCTCAGCTCAGAAATGCATCAGCAGAAATGGCGACACATCAACACATTTGCCAGGAAGAGCTGGGTGGAGTCCTTACTGGGACTTGGCATAAGGAATTAATTAAGATTTTTTAAAAAGCGAACATTTTGATTTCTTGGTGCACAACTGATTTTTCTCCTCTTTTTATTTCAACCCATCACACCTGTGAAGATATGTTTTACAGCAAATCGCTGGAATTATGACTATGTAAAAGTCACCAGGGACAAAGACAAAAGTGTTGATGACCATTTTCATCACCTCTTTACCCTTTTCATCTGTTTCTGACTCATTACACCTTGCCCTTTCCTCTTCTAAGACCGGTATGTCTTGTTAACTGAATACACACACACACACACACACACACACACACACGCACACACGCACACACACACACACACACACACACACTTTCTCCACGAAGAAAAGCAGCCAAGTGCCAAAATGCAAACCCAGGCTTGGGTTCCACAGTGCTCTAAACAATCTGCCCTTCCTACCTCCACCAAGAAAAGCAAATGGAAGGCACACTCAAACTACCTCCAGAAGAAATCACTAGTCAAATCAATACACAAATAAAAAGGCTCCCAGTTAATAAGCAACCTACAATGTGCCAGGCACTGTGGTAAGAGCTCTGCATAAATCATTTCATTATGACTCCATGAGATCAGGATTTTCACTTTTGTACAAATGAAGAAATGCACGCTCAGGGAAAGAAAAGTTTCCAGGATTGTACAGCCGAATGTGTCAGACATGGAATTTTTAACCCAAATTGGCCTGGCTCCAGAGCCCATGTTCCTTAATTAATTGATAAAGGGGCTTATTTTCTCACTCGGGTTCGAGAGAAGGTAGGGTGAGGAGAGGCATTCAGTCAAGTGGCCCAGGCTATTATCTGAGCACTTGAAGTCCCTGTACACTGGCTGGGACAACACTGAACAAGTCCCTTGCAGCCTTTTCTCCTTAATTTTTCCAGAAAATGTTAAGAGCAATGTTGACCTGCTTTCCTAGTTATGTAACAAGTGACTGAAATAATAAGTCAGTTCTGAAATGCCAGCCTGTGATGACGGCTCTCATAAACCCACAGGGATAGACCCCTGCAAAGGGGAGGTAGAGAAGAAACATGCAGAATAAAAATGCTTTC
Source organism: Homo sapiens (assembly GCF_000001405.40). Taxonomy (NCBI): domain Eukaryota; kingdom Metazoa; phylum Chordata; class Mammalia; order Primates; family Hominidae; genus Homo; species Homo sapiens. The sequence continues at coordinate 10,565,437 of NC_000010.11, forward strand.
AAATGAATAGGAAGAGGGGCTTCCTCAAAAGAGAATGACTGGAATCTCTCATTATCCTTAATCTGTCTAGCCCTAAGCAGATGTGTTGGATGAGCAACGCCGCTCCTTATTCTAACTTTTGTAAGACCTGGCTCTAGAGGGTCCAAAGGCCACCATGAGAAGACTCTCTGGGTCATTCCTGGATGCTTCTGGTGTAAGAATATATAAGACTTTGGAAGACTTTGTGTGTGTTCCTTAATTTCTCTGCAAGGAAGAATTTTGGACTTACAGACTTCCTTTTAATAAGCACGGTAATGCAAATATCTGTTACTTCAGCCTGAGAGCCTATTTGTGTGATCATTAAAGATGGAGCTACATTAGCTTCATATTAAGGTAATAGCTATGCTTATCTAATTTTGCATTTACTTTATTTAGGCTCAGTCCTTAATGATGTATGATACCTTTAATTAAGGGTCAGCAATTAATGAGGCAGTGGAGGTTGCCGTACTTGACTTTATGCTTTAGTTAGCAGAAATTAAACATGCTTCTAATTTTGCATCATTTTCTCCTTTTCTTGCACTTGAGAAGCTATATAAAACAGAACTTTGGAAATTACATGGAACTCTATCCCAACCCATTCTAACCTATATGTGTATTTAATGTGGCAAGATTTTATCCAACACGTGAGGACACAAAACAGAACCATGCATGGTCTTTACCCTCAAGGAACTAGGAGTCCAGGGATAAGCATATTAGGTTTTAATAGATGTCATTTTAAAAGAAGGCTCCAGGGAAAATGTGAACCATAATCTCTCTAGATGGGATCAAACTGAGGTCCAAGGACCTCAGCACTTTGCAGGGCTTCCCATTCACTTCCACAGCAAACATGCAGGAAAAAAAAAATAGTGTCCCAGTTGCCAGTGATTGTGCTGCTCTAGGTTCTTGCAAGGACCTTCCACAATAGCACAACAGAAAGGCACTTAGGGATTTTTTTTTTTTTTTAATTTTTTTTTTTATTATACTCTAAGTTTTAGGGTACATGTGCACATTGTGCAGGTTAGTTACATATGTATACATGTGCCATGCTGGTGCACTGCACCCACTAACTCGTCATCTAGCATTAGGTATATCTCCCAATGCTATCCCTCCCCCCTCCCCCGACCCCACCACAGTCCCCAGAGTGTGATATTCCCCTTCCTGTGTCCAAGTGATCTCATTGTTCAATTCCCACCTATGAGTGAGAATATGCTTTGAGAAAAAGAAGATGAAACAGCCACCTTTTATAAACCCTCAGGTTGCCATCTTTTGTTCACAACATATGTAAATAGATTAGAGCTGAATTCTATGCTGAGTCCAAAAGACTTTAGATTTTTCAAGGCTATCATATTGTGATGTTATCAAAACACTGCTAGAGATTGTTTTGGCTTCTTGAAAATAAGTAACTATCCTAGAATGGGCCTCTTCCACCGATCTCTACTTAAATTTTTATATTTACTCAGATTATACAAGCTATAGCCAAAGAACATGCATGGCATTTGGCTTTTAGAGGCACACATATTTACCTCCACATATGCATAAATATACATATTGAAGTATTGCTCACATCTGCCGCGAAGATAAAAGTGAACTGGATGTTTATGCAGAAAAGGACAGTGTTCATTTAAGAAAAGACAGTCTGAATAAAATAAGAGCAAAATTTCCAGGTAGACTTCTTCTAAATAATAGATACAAATAGATTCAGTGACTAAACATTTCCTCTATTGTTAAGTCAGTTTTAATGGTAGAGACACCTGAAGAAGGAATAGAAATAAACTGCCTTTATTTTAAAACTAGAGAATCGTGTTACACTTCCAACAAACCGACCAGGAAAAGTGCATTGACTTTAAAATTCAAGTAGAGGTAGTTTGAATCCTATGTTGCCATTTATAGATCAATTAAACTTCAGCAAGTGTCACAGGTCGGGTTCCCTGGGGAAGCTAGCTCTAAACTAGAGATTCAAGTATAGGAGGTTTATCTGGGAGTGCTCTTGGAATCAATACCCAAGGGAAAGGCAGGGAAGGAAGGCAGAGAAGCAGAATGGGGCGGGAAAATAAGCCAAGCTTTTATGCATCAACAGAGGCTTCAGCAGGCTACTAGGAACTCTTAAGGTGGGGTGACCCTTCGGAGTCAACCTGAGATGAGGCAAAGGGGTTCAAGCCTGTATATCTCCTACATTGATACCAAAATCCCAGAAAATGCTCAGGCGTCGATGCCTGAATCTTGACCAGTTATTAGCAACCCCCTACCCTGATCTTTCACTGGATGAAGGCCTCCCCAGGAAGGGGCCATGACTTTGGGTGATGTGGCCCCCTTGAGCGGAGATACTTCCAAAAAAGTCTACCTTCTGGCAGGACTCCCAGCAGCTGGGGAAATAAATCCTGGAGAACAGATCTAGGCAGCATACCACAGGGTCTAAAACAGCATTTTGGATTCCTTCATTCATTCATTCAACAGATATTTACAAAACTCCTACAATCCATGATTAGGGTACCCAGTGATTAAGCAATGAACAAAGCTGACCACATCCTTACCCTCCTGGAACTCTCACTCTGGGGAATAAGGTAGAGGGTATACACAGAAGAAAGAAAAACAAAATAATTACAGGGTGTAAGTACTATAAAGCAAAGGGTGATAAGATAGGAAGTAAAAGGAGGCAAGGCTGCTTTAAATAGAGTCCTTTCAAGTAGAAAGGATTAAAGAATAAATGAAGAAGTTGAGAGAATGAGAGCAAACAATCCATTTGAAAGCATGGGATGGTAACTGCAGGAGGACAAGATTCCAAAAAGATACTTGATATGGGTGTAAGATTATTTACAAGGCAGATGATTAGAGAGGAAGGGGAGGATGAGTCCGGAGAAAAAAAAAAGTAAGTGAAGAAGAAAGGTCCCAGATCAGGGATCAGCAAATTACTGCCTACAATTGGAGGAAGCATCTGTTTTGTAAATGAAGTTTACAAAAGCATAACCTCTTGGTTGCTTATCACCTATGGCTACTTTCATGCCACATCTGCAGACTTGAGTCCTTGTGACGAAGAGCCTAACATTTTTTGTTACTATCTGGACCTCTACCAAAAGAGTTTGCTCACCCTTCGTTTAGAGGAGCCAAGATATAATGGAATCTGGTGCAGATCTGAAGTTGACTTTGCCTACAGCAATACTGGTACCTTTCTTGGATGTAACAGGAAGGCAAGCAAAGAAGATCTGCACAGAGGCATGGCGGTTTGTGGATGTAATGATAGAGAAAGAAAGGAGTTTCATTTTGTTGGCTTTTATTTTCTTAGTGAAAAATGTGAGTGAGGAGGAGGGTTAGGGAGGGTTTAAAAAGAGGGGAAAGGTTTTGAAGTTCTCAATTTGGAGAAAGAAAAAGCTGGTTTACTAGGGAAGTATGGTGGAATTGAAAGAGGTGGTCTTGAGTACCTATTGGAGCCTATGGCCATAAATCTGAACTACACTCAATTTAAAGAAGCGACTTCTAGTTACAATATTGTAATAAATTTATGCTTTCAGGCCATTCCTTCTCCTCCAACCTGTAGCAAGGAGAAATAAAATAGAAAAAAGGCTAGATTGATCTTAGAAAGAAGATATCACCATCATTTACTTGAAACAGAGCAGAAAACTATGGCAGTGGAAGAAAGGGGGCTGCTAATTACTGGTCAAAAATCAGGCATTGATGACTGAGAATTTTCTGGGATTTGGTAAGTTTATCAGTCCATTTTCCTGCTGCTGATAAAGACATACCTGAGACTGGGTAATTTATAAAGAAAAAGACGTTTAATGGACTCACAGTTCCATCTGGCTGGGGAGGCCTCACAATCATGGGGGAAGGCAAGGGAAGGACAAAGGCATGTCTAAACTGGCAGGAGGCAAAGAGAGAAAATGAGAACCAAGAGAAAGGGATTTTCCCTTATTAAACCATCAGATCTCATGAGACTTACTCACTACCACGAGAAAAGTATGGAGGAAATGGAGGAAACTGTCCTCATAATTTAATTATCTCCAACGGGGTCCCTCCCACAACACATAGGAATTATGGGAGCTACAATTCAAGATGAGATTTGGGTGGAGACACAGCCAAACCCTATCAGTAAAGGATAAAATATATTTTAATCCAGGCTCATTTGTGAAGCTAGGGTTAAGATGTGTGTATCAGTTGGGTTGTGCAGAAGAAACAAAAAGCACCCTATACATTTTAAAGAGAGAGGAATTCAATGCAAAGAATCAGTACTTTCAGAAATCATTGGGAGGATTGAAGAAGCAGTTTCCAGGTGGACTTCTTGGAATGACTCCTGAAACACCATGAACTAGACACTGGGGAGTCACAACTTCAGTGGCTTTGGGAGCTATGCTGTCTTAGACTGCTAGATGCTGCCACAGTCATGGAAAACTCTGGACATCAGGAGAATGTTCACCAGAAACTGCTTCAGGAGAACTATGACCTTGCTACCCAGCAGAGACAAACAGAATCTTCAGGAAGATTGCCTCTGTCTTACTTCCTCCCAAATCTAGCATGGATATACCTCATTGGCAGAATGTAAATTATAACTGAAAGAGAGTGCACTGGCTTCCCAACCTCTCTAGATAACAGGAAGAAGAAAAGGTAGTTGAGAAACCAATCTAGTGCCTCCCACATTGAGGTGTCATAACATGAGGCAGTTGCTCACCTGAGACCTGAGGTCTTGCATATAGGGAGCTGTGGGTCTACAAGGGCATTGAGGGGAGCAGAGCAGCAATGCCTCAGGGTGAGAAGCCAAGTCAAACCCACCTCCTGGATCAGTCAATGGCCTGAAGAGCCCTGAAGCACAATTGTAAGATGTGGTTCCACATTGTGCATCCCAGGAGCAGGGTGGAGGCAAGGAATGAATTGAGATTAACCAAAAGCAAGTGAGAGACAGAGAAAACAGAAAACCTCAGCTCAAGATGAACTTAACAACCAATATTTATTCCCAAGAAGCCAGCATCTAAGTCAACAAGCAAAACACAAATTCACCCCAGGTGAAAGGAATTTTATATAAATGTTTAGGATGTTCAAAGAGATAAATGAAAGAATAATACCAATTTTAAAAGATTACTAAAATGTAAAGAAAAAGGCTAAAATGGGTGGATATGAAAGAGACCCACTTAGAAATCTAGTAATTAAAACTAAATTACTAAAATTAAAAATATCTGTATATAAATAAATAAATATGTATATATTTGCCACAATGTAAGATGCCACAATATAAGAGTAGCACAGTTAAGGAGAGAATTAGCAAGTGGGAAGATAGTACTGAGAAATTTACCTGGAACATTGATAACAACGTTAAAAGCATGAATGAGAAGTTAGGAGATGTTGAAGATAGCTCAAGAAGCTTCAGCATATGTCTAAAGAGAGTTTCAGAAGAAGAGCATGCAGGAAATGGTGGGAAAACAATATGTGAAGACATGTTTCTGAGATTTTTGCAGGAAAAAAAAGATGAGTAGCTTTTTTGAGGTTGAAAGTGCGCTCTGAATACTAAGCTGGTTAAATAAAATCAAAGCCTCACTGAAATGAGTTGTAATTAAATAAAAGTACATCAAGGTTAATATTAAAATCTTAAGAGCTTCTAGAGAGAAAAGAAAGGTGACTTGAAAGAAACAGGCAATTACATAACCGTCGGCCTTTTCATCAGCCATAATTTAATACTTTCAGAAGCAAATGGCAGGCCAGCATCAGAGGACTGAAAAAAACATAAACAAATGCGAGAATTAGATTGACTGGAATTTAGCAAAATGACAGAAAAGCAAAATATTCAGACAGTTGAAGACATTAGAGCATTTACCATCCACAGACATTTACTAAATCTATTAGTAAAGAACGTACTTCAGTCAGTAAAAAGCAGACACATTTGGCTGGTTGGCTGGCCTGGGAAGGCACTGCAAGAAAGATATTGCTTAAAATAGTAAATATTATGGACTGTTGACAGTAATAAAATAATAAAGTGCATCCAATCGCCCAAATAATATAATATTTCTCCAGAACCTATAGTTATTAAGCTGCTGAAGTATTGGCAAATAGGCTTTTGCCACACGAATTCAAGAGCAGGAGAGAAAGTCAAGTTTGGTGACAGTTTGTACCAAGCAGTAATAATAAAAGCGACCATGGGTTGTAAATTGAGTTATAAAGAAAGTGAAGGCATCTGAGCTGTTGTTAATAATGCAAAAATGACTGGGAGGGTACATGGGGCATCATTAGGAGGTCTTAATGAGATCAAGGAAAGATTGCTATCAGGATGCTTGTAAGGCTGAGTCGGACAGCAGATTCTTGCAGTAGATTTCAGGGGTATCTAATGGAGTGACCGTGGGTCATGAGATAAGCCAGAGTGTAAAAATTTAGAAGTGAAGTATAGGCACGGACGGAATTCTATCATTTCTCAGGATGAGATGAGCGTAGGAATGAGGAGAGGACAGAGGGTCTGGAACCCAAGACTTTAATAAATAAAGAGAGGGAGGACACAGTCCATCAGTCACAGCAATACTCTTATTGCTGTCAATAAGAGAGGGAGGCAGAACAGTCTGATGGGATTCACCTCAGTGGGGCAGAGCATGTTGTAAGAATGTGGCCGTGGCCATGGAGAATAGCTTTAGAAAGTGTAATGTTCTGTTTTACACCTAATTAATGGCAACACGTATGGTATTAGTCCCTGAGAGAGTCTGGGCCCATGACCTGCACTGCAGAATGGTTCTTTAAGAAGTCCCATTTGCAAGGTTTAAATTAAATATAAAGGGAATTCAGACTTTTTTTTTTAATCATTAAGAGCAGTATATTTTCTATTGAGGTCCCTTGTTCTTTCTGGATATCTCTGTATTAAATCTTCTGACTTAATCTCAGGATTCATGAAACAGTTTTTGTTCGGTTGGTTTTTTCTTTTTTTTTTAATTTTTCTTTTTATTTTAAGTTCCAGGGCATGTGTACAGGAGATGCAGTTTTGTTACATAGGTAAACGTGTGCCATGGTGGTTTGCCGCACCTATCAACCCATCACCTTGGTATTAAACCAGCATGCATCAGCTATTTTCCCTAATGCTCTCCCTCCCCCACCCCACCTCCCCTGACAAGCCCCAATGTGTGTTGTTCCACTCCCTGTGTCTATGTGTTCTCATTGTTCAGCTCCCACTTATAAGTGAGAACATGTGGTGTTTGGTTTTCTGTTCCTGCATTAGTTTAATGAGGATAATGCCTCCCAGCTCCAACTGTGTCCCTGCAAAGAACATGATCTCATTCCTTTTTATGGCTGCATAATATTCCATGGTGTATATGTACCATATTTTCTTTATCCGGTCTATCATCGATGATGGGCATTTGGGTTGTTTCCATGTCTTTTCTATTGTGAATAGTGCTGCAATGAACATACGTGTACATGTATCTTTGTAATAGAATGATTTATATTCTTTTGGGTATATACCTGGTAATGGGATTGCTGGGTCAAATGGTATTTCTGGTTTTAGATCTTTGAGGAATCGCCACACCATCTTCCACAATGGTTGAACTAATTTACATTCCCACCAGCAGTGTAAAAGCATTCCTATTTCCCCACAGCCTTTGCCAGGATCTGTTGTTTCTTGACTTTTTAATAATTGCCATTCTGACTGGTGTAGCTCATTGTGGTTTTGATTTGAATTTCTCTAATAATCAGTGTTGTTGAGCTTTTTATAATGTGTTTGTTGGCTGCATGAATGTCTTTTGAGAAGTGTAGGTTCATGTCCTTTGCCCACTTTCTAATGGGGTTGTTTGTTTTTATTTCTTGTAACTTTGTTTAAGTTCCTTGTAGATTCTGGATATTAAACCTTTGTCAGATGGATAGATTGTAAAAGTTTTCTCCCACTCTGCTGGTTGCCTGTTCACTCTGAGGATAGTTTCTTTGGCTGTGCAGAAGCTCTTTAATTAGATCCTATTTGTCAATTTTTGCTTTTGCTGCAATCGTTTTGGTGATTTCATCATGAAATCTTTGCCTTTATAGAAGAGTTTTTATACCTTGACTGCAATGACTTTCAATTCCGTTGTGTGTCCAAGGGTTCAGTGGGACTATATGTTTTTCTTTGGGGTGGTAATCTGTACCAAAGAGATGCAGAATTCTTTTTCTCAAGAAGTTTCCAGTTCAATGAAATAAGAGCAGGAAATAGATCTTGTGAGCACATGTACTTACATTTTTATTGTTTTTATTGATTACAAATAAAATATGCAAACATCTTACATCTTACATCTATTTTTCTGTAAATTAAAATCTGTAAATAAAGCTCAGATTAAATGAGAAATAGAATATTTTATTTGATCAAGTTTCAACATAATCGTTTCAGCTTTTATGGGATTAAAAATAGTCAATCAAAAATATTCATTGAGATCCTCACACATTTAAGGTGATGATTTCAGTGTCACAGGGATGCAAAGAACTATAAGACCAAGCCCCTACTTTCCAGAGTTTTTATTTGCATATTTTTATTTATATATTATTCTGTAAAAGCCAATAAGTATTAAATGCCAAAGAGAAGTATTCTTCTGGTTTAAAAAAAATTGTTCTGCATGTTCATAGTCAAGAAGGATCAATTTGATCTGATCTGGTCACAGAGGACCTCAGAAATTTTGTATTTTAAAGAGAAGTTGGGAAGTTAAAAATGGCCTGAATACAAATTTGGGACTCAGAAGACATATTTCATAGAATCCACTCTCTTAAATAAAGGAGGGTTATATGGGAATCATGGGAAATAAAGATTAGATGGTAAAGAACTTTGAAAGCCAAGGACATTATCCCACAGGCACTGCAGACCAATAGAAGGCTTTTGAGCAAGTAAATGATATAGTGAAGGCAGTAGGACTGTCATCAGTAGGACCAACTGATGACAAAGTAGAAGAAGGATTGTGCAAGAAGCACACTGAAGGCATGAAATTCTGCTAGTGGGGGCCATGCCGTGCTGGGCAGGAAGAGATAATTGCCTACTCCACAGGTTAAGGAAAAAAGCGAAGAATAAAAAGCTAATGAGAAACGTGTTATGATCCACCAACCAACTTGTTACTAATGATTAGTGGTGAGCTGGTAACAAGGGATAAATTTTTAATTCAAAGAGGTTTAACAACAGTTCCATTTAATTTTAAAAAGTATGGGTCTTCTCATGAAAATAGTGACAAACAGGAAAGAAAGCTGTTTTTGTTCAAAATAAGTATTCTCGTATTTGTGAAGTATAATATGTACAAACAACCCAAACATTGTAGCTGGCAGTATGTATGTTAATGTTTTTTTGTTTTTGTTTTGTTTTTGTTTTTGAGATGGAGTTTTGCTCTTGTCACCCAGGCTGGAGTGCAGTGGCATGATCTTTGCTCACTGCAACCTCTGCCTCCTGGGTTCAAGCAATTCTTCTGCCTCAGCCTCCTGACTAGCTAGGATTACAGATGCCCGCCACCATGCCTGGTTTTTTTTTTTTTTTTTTTTTTTTTAATAGAGATGGGGTTTCACCATGTTGGCCAGGCTGGTCTTGAACTCCTGACCTCAGGTGATCTACCCACCTTGGCCTCCGAAAGTGCTGGCATTACAGGCGTGAGCCACCGCACCTGACCTATGTTAATGTTTAAATTCAAGCAAATGGCTTTTTATTTAGTTGTTCTTATTAAAAATGCTAAGTATACCTAATAACGTCAAGAAAAATAACCCAGCCTTCACAATTTAATAATAAATATAAGCACAATTGATCACCATTCTATACATATGGTGTTTCACTGAGCCTGTTTCTTCTAATAATAGCAACCAAAACGTGAATGAAAGAACACAAGAGAACACATTACTTATTAACCCATTCTTGAAGGGTGTTAGATGTAGAATAAGGTCTAACTCATGGAAGGAGCCTGAGCTAATCCATGCTTTGCATTTAGGTTATACCTGTTTTCCTTTATCAACCAAAGTTGTCCTTTGTCAATTGACGTTTTATATAAAGTACTCACAAAACTTGCTCTATGTTGGACATTTATTCTCCTAGAAATGTAAGAAATGTTCATTTGCAAAATACCTAATCCAGACAGGTTTTTCTTTTGTTGAGTGTGTTTTATGCAACATGTCAGGGTTTGAGTTTTTTGTTTTCCCAATTCATAACCTTTTCCACCATCACGTAAAAAGATGACTCTCTCACCATGTGGTTTCTCTGTCTGACCTAACATCAAATACGTGCAGTCTGTTCCAAGAATTGAAAGCTTAGCTTCCCTCTGGCTACTGAGGTCATATGTTTAAATTTTTAGGTCAACACATCCAATTAAAACAGGTTTGGTGCAGAATAGATGATAAAAGCTAGAAGTGTTACAAAGAACAAGATATTCACTCAAGTAACATATAAATTAGGGGAAAAATGGAAATTTACTATTGGTTCATGTTCAGAGTGTTGGACACTCTAAGTGAAATTCAACAACTGAAAAAAACATCTTTCAAGATCACAGTAGAGGAATCCTTGACCCCTGGCAAGGTCCTGAATCATGAGCAGACATTATCTCTGGATTCGGAGGAGTAAATCATATCAAAGTAGATTTTAAATCAAATCAAAGTAGACATTTTAGCAGTCTCATGGACTAACATAAAAGGTTTTGCATTCAGAATCTTTTGCAGAAGCTGTAAGGCAGAACATTTCAGGCATCTGGCTGCTGCTTTATCTGGCTGGGCCTTTAGCCCCAGATCTTTTCTGTTTCTCGCATGGCCAGAACTGCAAGAGTTCTCCCTCATCCCTCTAGGGAGCTAGAGACCAAATTGGGGGGCTACGGGTATAAAAGAAGTTCAAGGACTAAGGGTCAAAGAACTGCGAAGAGCTGAGAGCTTCCTACCCATCACCCCTGTCTAAAGTTTGTAGTTAATATGAAATAAAAGTCTGCCTAGATTAATTTTGGAGTCCTTTTTTTTAAATAAGATGCAGTCCAATAAGCATAAATACTAGCTTTCTCAGGCACATATTTTGACATTTGATGAGCTCATGAAAGAAGAAATCAACCCCAGAGAAGGCTTGCAATGCTTCTAACGTATTAGTTAATATAGGAAGACTTCCCAGTGTATAGGTAAAGAAAGAAGAGTCTACTTTAATTTGCATTAAGAACCCGATGGTACCACAACAATAACTCTACTTTTGTGCAATTGCCTTAATTTTTCTGGGATGACTTGTGTATTCCCACCATTGTACTTTTACCCATGCTATTTTTCTTATTTCAAATATCCGTTAACCATCTCTCTACCAAACTATAAAACCTAGCCCCTTCACCTCCTTCAGGGTGCTTTCTCTGCCTCCCCCAATTCTATCCACTCTGATCTTCTCTCATTCTTCATCCACTTCCCATTCACTTGTACAGTGTGTGGTACATTATCCAGAGTAACTGGTATAAAGTAAATTAACACTGGAGTTACTCTTACCAGTGTGTTGTTTAATTGTGTTGTACTGGAAATGTGGTGCTCCTGAGGCCTATGTGAGTGAGAGATTTGCTTTCATTTAGGAAACCAAAGAGGAAGAGGCTATTCTACCCCCAGAGGGGTTTACATATTCACTCCCATTACCTCAGCAAGAAGGAAAACACTAATCACACAAAGGGGAATGCAGCCATCAAAACAGTGGGCTCAGAGCACAGCAGAGAAACTGACAGGCAGAATTTGTATCTTGAGAAAGTCCATAAGCAAAGACTAAGATAGAGGCCCTGAAGCAAGAAGCAAACTGCATTGCGCCCAGAGTAAATGATGAGAATATCTCAGGACACACAGAAATAAATCTAGACTGGACAAGAGCTGTTGACAGAGCCTGCATGGCAATGGGTTATTTGTTCCTTAGTAGGGAGGAATCAAAGGTTGATAAATCACTTGATCACCTCTTCAGTTCCTGACAGGACTGAAAATCTGTATGTTCTTATTGTGGAATTTGGGTCCAGTTGTTCTCAACAAATCTTTTTATTATTATTATTATTATTATTATTATTATACTTTAAGTTTTAGGGTACATGTGCACAATGTGCAGGTTTGTTACATATGTATACCTGTGCCATTAACTCATCATTTAGCATTAGGTATATCTCCTAATGCTATCCCTCCCCCCTCACCCCACCCCACAACAGTCCCCAGTGTGTGATGTTCCCCTTCCTGTGTCCACGTGTTCTCATTGTTCAATTCCCACCTATGAGTGAGAACATGCGGTGTTTGTTTTTTTGTCCTTGCGATAGTTTGCTGAGAATGATGGTTTCCAGCTTCATCCATGTCCCTATAAAGGACATGAACTCATCATTTTTTATGGCTGCATAGTATTCCATGGTGTATATGTGCCACATTTTCTTAATCCAGTCTATCATTCTTGGACATTTGGGTTGGTTCCAAGTCTTTGCTATTGTGAATATTGCCACAATAAACATACGTGTGCATGTGTCTTTATAGCAGCATGATTTATAGTCCTTTGGGTATATACCCAGTAATGGGATGGCTGGGTCAAATGGTATTTCTAGTTCTAGATCCCTGAGGAATCGCCACACCGACTTCCGCAATGGTTGAACTAGTTTACAATCCCACCAACAGTGTAAAAGTGTTCCTGTTTCTCCACATCCTCTCCAACACCTGTTGTTTCCTGACTTTTTAATGATCGCCATTCTAACTGGTGTGAGATGGTATCTCATTGTGGTTTTGATTTGCATTTCTCTGATGGCCAGTGATGATGAGCATTTTTTTCATGTGTCTTTTGGCTGCATAAATGTCTTCTTTTGAGAAGTGTCTGTTCATATCCTTCACCCACTTTTTGATGGGGTTGTTTGTTTTTTTCTTGTAAATTTGTTTGAGTTCATTGTAGATTCTAGATATTAGCCCTTTGTCAGATGACTAGGTTGCAAAAATTTTCTCCCATTCTATAGGTTGCCTGTTCACTCTGATGGTGGTTTCTTTTGCTGTGGAGAAGCTCTTTAGTTTAATTAGATCCTGTTTGTCAATTTTGGCTTTTGTTGCCACTGCTTTTGGTGTTTTAGACATGAAGTCCTTGCCCATGCCTATGTCCTGAATGGTGTTGCTTAGGTTTTCTTCTAGGGTTTTTATGGTTTTAGGTCTAACATGTAAGTCTTTAATCCATCTTGAATTAATTTTTGTATATCAGCTTTCATGAGGTCCTCTGTTATCGTATATCAGAGGAATAATCTAAAGGGAGAACATATTGGTATACTGATTTCCAAAGTGGGAAAAGGACCATGCAAGCACACCCCAGCCCCAAAATCTAATTATCTTACCCAAACCTGCATTTCTCAGGATATTCTACTTTCATTACGTTGGCACTTTTCAACAGGATGACTTAGTTGCTTGTGTTTTATGGGTAGATTCAGTCCTTCCATGGGTCCACACCCTCTCTAGGCATTCACATCTTGACGTTAATTCTTCCTCTAAGAGCTAAGACTAATTTCCTTTTGCACCAATCATCCCAATGCTTGATACACTTTAGGTTGTTGATGCTAATATTAACTTTCACATCTATTAGCTGCTTAGCTCATGCATGTTGGGACTCTTCAACTACATCATAATCTCCTGATCTAAGACATAGGAACTCTATTTCCTGCTTTTGAAATCTTCCAAAGCCTGATAGTCCTCTACACATAGTGTCTGTTTTTGTTTAGTAACAAAACATGTTTTTGTTCTCTACACAGGAACATGTTTTGTTTAATTAATGATTGAAGAAAAAAGGGTATAAAAGAACAAGTAAGTGCTGTAAAGGAATAACAAGTTCCTTTCAAGTTCTGATTTCTTGGAACTTCCAAATGGAGACATAGTAAAATTCAAATCCAATGAACTGCTTCAGGGGAGTATTATGGATTTGCATCTTGGAGTTTAAGAAGGCTGAAAATGCAGGATTGACGTTCATGGAGAAACATGTATGTATGAGCATCTTACTGTCTTTAGATGGTCTTCATGGTACTCATTGCCTTTCTCCAGGGGATGGAGGCTCTGTGATAAATAGGAACTGGATGCCTCACTTTGGCTTGGTCTGGGTAGTTCCTCAAGGATTAATATAGGTTGTTAACTCATTGTTTAAGACACATTTCTCACTGAGCTGCATTTGTTATTGACCTTAGACCCCCGGGCTGTTATATACCATTGGAGTTAGGATGTAGATAGATACAGATGTATAAATACATATTTGTGGCCTAAAATAAAGTCTTCCCTCCACCTTGAAAATACAGCAAGAGGATAAACATAGACAGTCCCATAATAGAGGCAATGTTACCCCGGAATAGTAAAAATATTCATCTTTTGGTATCATATTGTTATCTTCAAAATACATTGAAGAAATGTTTCATCTCCTCTAGGAAATATTAACTATCTGATATTATGGAATACATAAAAGTTCCAAATATCTGAGAAAGAAACAAAATTGTTTTTCAGTAGGAGCTGCAGAGTAAAAATAAATACACACACACACACACATGCACACACTCCCACACTCCCAAAACACAATGAGGTATTGATGTAATAGTTTATAAATAGAATGCTGATGGGGAAAAAAATGAGATTTGACTTACAGGAACCGATAACAAAGAGTGTGAGATCTGGACTGATGTGGAAATTCAAGAACACATCAAAAAAGATTACCATAAATTATCTTCTCCTTCTACACAGTAATAATAGTGATGATGCAAGGAAAATGTATTTAAAGAAAGTTTTTCCCTTAAAATAATATATTACAAAATATGTTTTCATATGAACACTAAAATGAGACCATGAGTTGGAAAGGTCAAGCCATTCAAAAAGCTTATAATCACTCCTGGATTAATTAAGGTGGGGGCAACCTTCTAAAGTACAACCTTTAGAAGAAAAGAGAAACTAGGGCAGGGAATCTATTGTCTCCCCCAATTCATAAGTGCACTTTGCAAGAGAGAGTTTATTAAACTTTGCTATTAATCTCTTAACCATGCTGGCATCTAGAATTGTTCACTGAAAAGAAGTCTCCAGATTCTATTTCTTCCATAGATTGACCCAGGAATGACTATAAGAAATCCTTTTTTTACTCTTCTAAGCTCACAACCTGTTCCTGTTCGCACCCTTAAATGTTAGTATGGTTTACCAAGACCACTGGCTAAGCATTCTGACCCGGCACTAACCAACTGTGTGACCTTCGGCAAGCTCCTTCATTTTTCTGGGCCTCAGTTTCTTCATATTTAAAACAGAATGATTGAAACCCACAATTTTGAAAGTTCCTGGCAGTTCTTTAATTATGATTTTAAGAAACTAATACATAACATAGATTACGAAACATTAGAGAAAATAGAATCTAGATCATTGTATTTCCATTTCAAGCTTTCTCCTCTTGGCAGTTCTGTCTCCTGAGAATCAGAGAAAAGGGAATCAAAGTGGCTTAACAAACTGTATTACATTGGATCAATAAATATTTACTGTATGGTTGAGTCAATGGGTGAATTGATCTCTTAGTGACTGTAAAAACTCTAAAGAAGCTAATAGAATTACCTGAAAATATAGTGTGAGTGGTAAGGAATGATTTACATTTATAAATTTCTCTTTCTTGTCCATGAAAAGGTTACAATTATAGAAAAATAGATCTATTTGGATCACAATTCCACTCCATAGTCATTATTGCCTGTATGTCAGAGATAATGTGTTTTTGTGTTTTAAATGTTGGTGAATTGCACATATTTGGAATCTCCTGAAAAGGATAGGATGTCAGTGTTTGCACATAATAATTGTTGTGAAATATATGTGTTGTTTACAAGCTAACAAATGAGTAGTATTCACAACTGAACAAAAGATGTGGTCCTATTCATTCAATTTGCTACTAGTTGCTCCCCAGATATTAGTTTAAGTACAACCTTTAGCTAAAATTTCTATATTTAATTTTAGAAATAGCTGATTGTTTGAGTCAAGGAGCAATCTATGAAAGCTAAGTTGAAAACTGCCGATTTTGATCCATTTTGCTTTCAAGAGGGTATCTTTATGGGGAAGTCCAGAGTGCTAGAACTTGGATTGACCATTGCAAATAGGAGATGACAGTCCAAATAAGAGATGAGGAGAACGCTCTGGCAGGGTGGAGATTGTGTCAGTAGTACTCAGGAAAGCTGACACACCAACACAAGTAACAGAAAAACAGCACACTGTCTCCCTCTCACATTCAGGCAAACCAGGGTAGTCACATGAGGCTCCAACAAGAAGGAGGATTGAGCAGGAAACAAACTAATCCAGAGACTCATTCTACAAAGCCAGCTCCAAATTATTTTGAAAATCAAATAACTAATGTGATGATTTGGTAACCATTAAGATATCCACAAATACTTACATTAAGATTAAAAGGGTCACATAGGCCAGGCGCGGTGGTTCACGCCTGTAATCCCAGCACTTTGGGAGGCCAAGGTGGGCTGATCACGAGGTCAGGTGTTTGAGAACAGCCTGGCCAACATGGTGAAACCCGATGTCTACTAAAAATACAAAAATTAGTTGGGCATGGTGGTGGGTGCCTGTAATCCCAGCTACTCAGGAAGCTGAGGCAAGAGAATTGCTTGAACCCAGGAGGCACAGGTTGCAGTGAGCTGAGATCGTGCCACTGCACTCCAGTCTGGGCAACAGAGCAAGATTCCATCTAAAAAAAAAGGGTGGGGGGTCACATATCCACATATCCTGTCTAGCCGGAGCAAGATTTCCAAGATGTCCTTGTTCCTGTGAAAATTTGTCTGACTGTATATAATCTCACTAAGGACCTTTTCCTATCATACTTTCTATCCACTTGACCGAATTTTCCTGTATACTGGCCCGCACTTGTGAATCCCTGCTCAGGGGATATTTTAACTAGTTTATGTCAGTATTTTTATAGCAAGCCCCTTACAACATTTTAAATGTTCTTTTTCAAAATTTAAATACATTGATGAAATCCATTGTTACATACCTTTTGGATATGGGTCCTTGGTGATGATCTCATATTCCTGTCTACCTGGGATATCAGAAAGGCTAATGCCTGAGATAGTTTTCCGAGATTATATTTTTTCATAGAAATATATAAGTTAAGGATAAGAAGGGAACTTAGCGATTATAGAGTCAAGGCTTCTCACTTTATAATTGAACAAATGGTTCATTATCTAGATTTTTTATTTTTACCAACCACCTCTCCCAATCCTTTCCAATTCCAGTTAACAACCTTGTTATTGCATGTAATGAGTAATTTCCTCAGTCCTGCATATTCTTTCTCAGACTTTCAAGCAATCAATAAGCATTGTTGAGTACTCTTCATATTCTCTGAGCTATACTAGCTGGTCTAGGGAGCTGCTTTTATTTCATGGTGTTTTTCCCTAAAAGCGTAAAAATATGATACAAATAAGGTAAAATAAAGGGAAGAATTGGAGCTCCCAGGTCATGACCTTCTTCTGTATTCTGCCAGTCTTTGCTTTCAATGAAAAAAGTGGTAAAATCTCAAATTTGCATTAATACAAATACTGTGTAGAATTTAGAAAGAAGGAAGTGATGGTTTCTTTCTATTCAAGGGCAGTCAACTCACATCTGGAATAAAACATTCAGTCTTGGACTTCTCAATTTAAGAGGAGTTGGACAAGCTGGAATCTGTGCAGTAGATAATGAACAATTTCAAGACCACGTAGCATAAAGAAAGATGGAAGAAATAGTATAGACTTAAACCTAAAGAAGAAAGACATAGGGGATAATGAAAGCTGTCTTCAAATATTCGAAGGCCTTGCAGTGCAACTATGTGAAAGAGGATTATGATTGATATGTAACAGTTTGTCTCTAGAATCACCAAACCAAGGGTACCAATGAGGTCCCATCAACACCTGGAATTTATTTATCTGCTCTTCTCCACTTTTATAACTGCAGGATTTGACAGTTTATCAGGTTTGTCCTTCTTTATGTCTATGTGTCCTCAGGGCATTTTCTAGTTACTCATGATTTATCCCTCACATATTTTTCTGTTCTCACCTACATTGTCCATGAGCCCCATGGGGAAAGTAATTCAGGCTTACCTGTGCTGTTGGCAAAAACAATATTTTGTACCAAGGAAGTGGTCTCTCAATGCCCCAAAGCTTCAAAACCATTTTAATGCAAAAATCTATGGGTCCTCTAGGGTTAGCCTGAAGTTGCTGCCTGTATTTTGCTCTAGCTGAGGAGACAGTCATTTCTCCCAGTAAAGCTTCAGACCAGGTTGCCGGGGCAGGACTGGAAATCAGTTTCTTTCCTCTCACACCCAAGGCAGCTCACCAGAGTTTATTCTTTTCCAAAAGCCCTTTCCTTCTGTAGAATATACTTACAGAATGTGACACCTAGGAAAGAAAGACCGAGACTGGCACTATCCTCACACACCCAAAGTCAGAAATGAGCTGTGATCACACAAAACTGGAACCCAGGAGTGGAAGATACCAGGAGATGTTTCAACCTAAGGAAAGATGAGGGTGTAACTGGGGCTTTTATAAGATCAAATGTGCAACCTTGAGAGTTTTGTCTCCATCACTGTTCCTGTTAGAGTATGTAGTCCAAGAGCACTAGGTTGGAAAGGTGTCTAAAAAGGATCCAAGCGGCAAATGAGTGGACTATATAGCCTCAAAGATGCCTTCCAACCCCAAGACCGTAGGGGGCTAAGGCTGTCTACTCCCCTGAATAGAGACTTAGGATGTTGATAGAGCGATTAGCAGGTCTGTGATAACACGGTTATCACCACCTACCTAAAAACAAGCAAGAAATAAGAGGTCAGGATGTCTTTAGCTCCTCTTCTATATGTAGACTTAGCCCTGATAAAAGAAAAATTTTGACTGAATTAAATTTAAAGGAGCTTAATTGAGCAATGAACGATTTGCGAATCAGGCAGCCCCCAGAATCATAGCAGATTCACAGAGACTCCAGCACAGCTACATAGTGGAAGAAGATTTACAGACCATAAAAGGGGAAATGACATACGGAAATTGAAGTGAGGTACAGAACTGCTGGATTGGTTACAGCTGGGCGTATGCCTTATTTGCACACAGTTTGAACACTCAGCAGTGTATGAATGGTTGAAGTGTGGCCGCTGGCATTGGCCAAGACTTAGCTATTGTTACAGGTACATACTACTAAGTTAGGTTTTCAGTTTTGTCTGCCTATTAAGCTGGTTACAGTTCAACCACAAGGACTCAAATATAGAAGTACCGAGTCCTCCTCAGGACATATTTAGTTTGCTTTAACAGCCCTGTTTCTCCAAGTTTAATGCATAGACACTGTATCTGAATCACTTGTGGAGCTTACTAACAATATCGATTCTTGTAAGGAGAGCATTGGAACCACTGTCTTTAACGCTATGTTATCTAATATAACTTTCTGAGATGAGGAAAGAGTTCCCTGTCTCTGCTGTCCAATGCAGTAGCCACACGAAAGTCACAGGAGCCTGTTGATCATTTCAAATGTGGGTTGTGAGACTAACGAAATGAATTTTTAAGTTTTAGTGTTAATTTAAATTTACATAGCCCCATGTGGCTGGAGGCTACGATGTTGAACCAGGGCAGTTCTAAAGTCTAAGAAGGAGGAAATTTTGAGAGAAGTAAGTTTGATTTGCACAGAAGAAAGGGTGGATCACTAAAGCAAAATTACAGCAAGGATATAGCAAGAATTAAAGAGAATTTTAACAGGAAGGGATCTTGGAGGTCATCTAGTAAAATAGCCCTTAACCTTTCTGAGGTTTTGAAACCCTTTGAGAATGGCTGGAAGCAAATGAATATTCTCAGTAAGATGCTCCTACTAATTCATGTATAATCAATTCATACGAGGTTTTAGAGGTGGAGGGTTAGAGAATTCCCAAAACTCATCCATTGTCTTCTTGCCAAACCATAAATCCCTGATTGGGAATTCTCAATAGAGCAAAATACCCCTAAGTCTGCGGACAAGAAAACTAAAACACAGAGTTCCAGGACTGGCCCACAGCCATTCATTTGTCAGCAAACTTGGCTTCCGTTATCTTTCCCTTCTGTCCTCTGTACACCTTTCTCTACCTTGGGTCATGGAGAAAGGAAACTACATGATGTATGTATATGGATAGGAGAACCAGCTAAGTGCTAAGATTTATACACAAAAGTTGGGGTTTCAGCTGATTGTGTTAGAATGAACACACTAGGATTTGTGTGGAAGTGCAGTATTTGTGCAACATTTAACCTTATTCTGTTTTTGGAAATAAAGGTGCATTTGCTCCATATTCCAAGTGCAGGAAGAACAATAAAGTGTTTTTGATTACGCTCCCTTTGTCATATAAGAATAAAATGTAGTTTAAATGAGTCAATAAAGAGAAGTCTCTCTCTTCACTGTTTGATTAGGGGATCTTTTATGTAATTGATTTTCCAAGTTCTCAGTCATATTGCGGAAGGATCCCAATACATTTCAAGAGTATTAACTGTTAAAAATAGTTTTCAGTTGCTGGGTAAATACCAATTTGCAGCAACTGGGAAGAAAAATTTAGCATGACTGTTTACATACATTGTAGAGAGAATATTAACATCACCTTGAGATATCTGTTGTTTGCTTGTATGTGTGAAGAGAGAAAAGAAAAGCCAATGCTTAATACAACACTTGCAACTCACATTTACTATTGTATGTTCATAAATATTAATCTGGAGAGATAATTAGCTCTATAAATTTTACAATTAGCCTTTCAGAAGAGAAGTGGATGCTAATAAAATAAGGCATGCTTTCAAGCTGCACCACTGCAAATGCTTTTACTCTCACAACTCTGAGGCAGGGCCTGTCTTTGTTTAATCTTTTCCTGAAATAGGCTTGCTTTACACTTATTCCCTTTCTCCCTTGAGACAATAACTTGCAACAGGGAAAATAGGTTTCTATTCTCAAAATCTGGTTACCATCTATTTTTTAATTTTTTTCTTTTTTCTCTGGAATATCCTGGAATAACAAAAAGGCCATGTTTGACCCTCTAGGAGACTGCTCCAATTCAGGCCAAATGAAACTTACATGTTTCAGAGATTGCTTGGGTGAAATCAAGATGTTTGCATTTGCGTGCTCTTCTGTATGCATTGATTTGAAACACATACCCTAGTCCTTAAATCTGAGACTTACATCCTACAATTAATGTCATTTACAAATTAAAAAGATGTTCATGAAAAAGTGTGTCATTTTCCCCTTTGAAGCTTGTCATTTTGGAAAGTTCAAGGGAAGCTATGCCGTGTAGTGGGAAAACTGCTGGAAGCCTGCAATGCTGAGTTCCAACCTAATCATGCTCACTACCTGGGTGAACCTGGGCACACCACGTAATTTTTTTTCCTTGAAATTAGAATCATCAGTTTGATCATTGGGTTCCTAACCTGAATATACACTAGAATTTGCTAAAATACAGATCTCAGAACCCATCTCCAGCATTACTAAATCAGAATTTCTAAGAAGTGTGGCCCATTAATGTGTATTTTGAACACGTTTTCCTGGTGGTTCTTACAGTCAGGAGGAACCAGGTGGATTGTATACGGCAGCTAGAACACATAGTGGCCTTTAATGTTTCTTCCTGCTCTGAATGTCTAAGACCTAAACATGCCAGTGGATTGATGCAGGGTACAGGGAGAAGGCCTTTGGAAGAAAGAGGTTGCTAGGCTGGTTTCTGCAAACAAAGTACAAAACATGAGCAGAACCAGAGGTGCCCCTTTAGAAATGATCAAAACTGAGGCCCAGAGAGGGTTTGTCCTAGTATCCGTGTCTTTAACCACTTTGTCATGCTACTATTTGGTGAAGGGAGAGAAAAAGGAAAGAAAGGGAGTTCACATCACCAAGTAGAAGGAGAAAGCAACAGACCACCCTTGGGCAGAGTCCACATATTGTGTAGCCCGCATGGGGATTTATCAAAAATTACATGCAACAAAATGTCGATAGGACATGCATAATCCACTTGCTCCATTGAATGATAACCAACCTGCTTCACTCATTTCACTCCTATATATTTTCCTACTTGAACCCAAACGCATTTGCATTTGAAATCACTCTTAGCACATCTCGGTAGGATCCCTTGAAACCTCTGCCAGACAACTTCAGGGGAACAGAAGAGGCAAGTCCTTGCTACACAATTAAAGTGTTCAGAAGCCTTCCCAATTATTTTAACTCATCGGTCGTGGCAAAATAAACATCTTTCACATAGCAATAAACATAAAAATAGAATAACATAAAATAAACATCTTTAACATAACAATAAACATAAAATCCTTTTTTTGTTGTTTGTTTGTAAGTAAATTGTAGAGATCTATCTGTCCTTGTCCCTTTTCAAGACAAGTCCTAGGAGCAGGAAATACCAAAACTATCCACGTTAGCCCTAGAATTGCATTCTGAGAATTCCAGCTCAACTCTTTCCTTGCTCTTTGTTTGAATTCCCCTGGTAATTTTACTACTAAAGAAGCTCACTTAGCCAAATTCAAGAGGAGAAATGAGGGCTTGACTACTGTGTAAAACTAGCTTATGGCTCTGTGGGCTTGGTGAGCAAGATCCCAGGGCATGTTATAAATAGATACCCGCAGATTTGGGAAAAGGTTTACAAGATTTTCCAGCCCAAGCACATGTTAACTGCTCCCCCTCCGCCCACTCACCAAGAAGGAGGAATTGTGAGAAAAGGTAAAGATGTAATTTTTTTTTTTTTACATAATGTTTTAGCTGTCTTGAAGATGAAGGCATGATCCCTTCTAACAGACTGTGTTAAAGAAGCATAAATGTTTCCACCAACTGAGCCAGCAGGCCTAAAATTGTGCATGTTTGGCAACGGGCAGTCTCTCAGACGCTGATGGCCCCGTGACCCATTACCCCAAATCCCAGGGCAGCTTGAGACACCCTGGTGTCTTCAGGGGATTGGAATTTGGAACTTGGAGCCACAGGAGAGAAAGAAACTCCTTCAACCTTGAGGAAGACTATTTCCTAACAGGAACAAGCAGGTGAATGAGACCAGTGACCCTAGCTCCAACCTTGTCCCACACTGGCTGAGAGACCCTAAAGCTGTCACTTACTCCTCTGGGCCTCAGATGAACCTGGCAGCTCTGGCATTCTGTGAACTTGAGGTTGGTCCAAAGGGCTATTAAAGGGCGTATTGGGATTGTACCACCCTGGGATACCCAGAAGCCTCTGGTGGCACTCTGGCTGTCACCTCAGGATTTACCTCAGAGCAGCCATGCTCAATATGGTGGTGGGGTGGGTCAGACTAGCAAGGAGGCATCTCTTGGAGGGATTGTAGATGACTCAAGTTTGTTCCTGATAGTTAATGTACTCTGATATTTCAAATGGCATTAAAGAAGTATATGAGATTTACATTTTTACCAAAATAGGTCAAGGGGTAAAAAGGCTAAACAATGTTACAGCAAAGCCATTAATTGAACAATGAACCCTAGAGCTATTCTCAAGGTATTCCAGACTTGGAGCACTCCATTCGGAAACAGACTCCTCTATCCTATTCTGGTGTGGATGCCAGTATTCACAGAGTACCACCCACTTATGTTGAAGTGCCAGTTTAAACTCTCCTTGATGTTTCCATGCACATCAACTTACCCGGTCCTATAAAACAAAGAGTGTCTGGGACAAATCTCAATTCATTTAGAAGTTTATTTTCCCAAGGTTAATGACATACCTGTGACACAGTCTCAGGGGGTACTAATGACATGTGCCCAAGGTGCTCAGGCTACAACTTGGTTTTATACATTTTAGGGAGACAGGAGACATCAATTAATAGATGTACGATGTACATTGGTTTGGTCCAGAAAGGCAGGACAACTGGAAGTGGGGGCTTCCAGGTCATAAGTAGATTCAAAGATTTTCCGCTGGGCAATTTGTTGAGTTGTTAGCTAAAGACCTGGAATCAATAGAAAGGAATGTCTGGATGAAGATACAGGTTTATGGAAGCCAAGGTTCTATCATGCAGATGAAGCTTCCCACTTAAGAGACAATAGATGGCAAATGTTTCTTATCAGAGTTAAAGGATTTGTTCTACCAGTCTTAAGGTCTGTGTTGATGTTAATGGTAATAAGGCTTATCCAACTATCCCTTCCCATCATAGCCTCAGCTAGTTTTTCAGGTTAACTTTGGAATGCCCTGGGCAGAGAGGAGACATCCATTCAGATGGCTGGGGGACTTAGAATTTTAATTTTTGTTTCCAATTCGTACACCTTTCCTCAGTCTGAGCTAGGTAGCTGTGGCTGGTGCTGTTAACCCCATTTGAGAGAATGTGAAAATGAGACTCACAGGGGCTTAGTGATTCATTTCAGTCCACCAGGTGAGTGCCTGGCCAAGCTGGGGGTCATGGAAATTCATCCTTTCCCCCACAAGAAAAGACGTGAGTCACTGTCTTCACTGTTCACATGAGAAAGTCACAAGACCCAGAGAAATTAGGCAAATTCTCACACGTCATTCAGACAGTGAGTCGCAGAAAGGCTGGCTAGGATCCAGGTTATCTGACTCTGAGGTTTATAATCTTTCCTCTACATCATGCTGCTTCTAAAACCCTGGCTAAGGTCCTAGACTTCCCTCAGATACCAGGAGCAGTGTCCTTAAAACAACCCTAAAGTAGTGATTCTAGGGTGCCTACCTCTAAGTAGCCCATTTTTCAGTCCTGGCAGGAAATCTGGGACAGGTAGATTCAAGTCTCTGCCCGGGGTGCTCAGGAATCCTTCCATGGCCTTGTAGAGGTGAGGCCACTGTCTGGGGGTTTTATTTGCCTCCAGGGCTATAGAAACATGTGCTGCCCTAAGGTATGACATAGCAGGCATGTGAGTGCACACATGTGCATGCACACACACACACACACAGGCTTTTATAATCTCCCTCTATTTGGGGTGCAGAGATGGGAAGAAACATCATCTTAAAGTTAATTTGTTATTTTCTGTGGCAATGGGGTCAAGAAAAGATTGGCTATTTGAAACCCACAGATAATCCCCAGCCCTCTATTTTAGCCATTATTTTTTAACATTTCACAGAGGTGCTTATGAGCAAGGAAATGTGTAAAATGCACCCTGAAGCCAGAAAAACAGGAACCAGAACAATTCACAAACTGAATTATCAGCCCCAACTGGAGAGTAAGTTGTATAATAAAAGGCACAATTTTCAGTCCCAAATTGAGAGTAAGTGGTGTAATCAAAGACGGAATCACACTGGCTATTCTACCTCTAATTCCCTTCTGATAACTTTCCTGCCCTTTACTACCACCAGCCACGAAGGTACCCAGTGTCTCTGTGTTCCACCCTCAACTGCTCTGGACAGCCCACCTTGGCAGCCCAACAGGTCTGCCTTCCTGACCAAGCTCTGTCTCAGGTGTTCTCCACTCAGTTTCATGTTAGATCTACCAGCAAAGCTTGTGGAAAATACCAAGGACTGGCCCCTCCCTCATCAGTTAAGTCAGAAACTTTATAAATTCTTCAACTGATGCTTTTGCTAAAATCTAGGCTCTGGGCATTTCTTTTTTTCTGCCCTTTGTCCGTCAAAACTTATTTGTCTCTGTCTCATTCTTTTAAACCCTATTCCTCCAGGGCAAAATGCATGTGTTAAGTTGCTATGGTAGATGAATAAAATTGTCTATCCCTACTAAGCACAAAATAAATGCAAATTAAAACAATAAAGTAGACCTTCTCACTTATCACATTGATGATATTTTCAAACATTTAATTCCTGGTGTTCACGAGAATATAAAACATATACTCCTATTACCATTGAGTGACCATAAACTGATAGAATATATCTAAAAAAAGTGATTTCGTCATCTATGTTAAGACATAAAAGAGCTCAAACCCCATAACCTAGAAATTTCATTTAATTCATTAAAAGGAAAGAGAAGATATATAGAAAATTAATTATGGGAACATTCAATATTGCGTTATTTATAATATCAAAAATGATTTTTTAATGAAACATTTAATAATGGGATGGTTAAAGGTGTAACAGTGTATCCACTCTATGGAATAATATCAAAAGTTACATTTACAAATGTAGATAACATGGGTATATGCTTTCAGTACATTAATACTAGTGGGAAAAACAAAACACAAAGTTGGGCATATAGTAAGTATATATGTATACATACATATAGATGTATACATTTAAAGAAAGATGTGAAATACTGAATGTTTATCTCTTGGTGGTGGGATTAAAGGTAACGTTTATTCTTTTCTCCTTTAGATTTCTTTATTTTGTAAGTGTTGTGACAAACTGTGTTACTTTTATAATCAGGAAAAACCAATGTATATTTTATTAAAAATTACTGTAGAAATGGAGGTTTGATCTGTTTCCCTTCTCTGTTAAGACGTTTGCACTTTTTAAGGAAACTGACTTTGATTAGAACAAAGATTTTCCATGAATGGGAATCTGTGGCAATTCAGTTCCCAGCCACTCAGCGTCCACCGCCAAGAGAGGCTTTGTCACCAGTAGCTCTGCTGTGCCTCATTCCATGTGTATTTAGAACCCAAAGTCTCTCCTGCACTCAGTGTAAGGCATATTATCCTGGCATAGTGTGTGTTTGCTACCTGGGAGTCTATGTGTGTTCACACACACACCCCCACATACACACACATATCCTCTTGTAATTGGATATGTATTTGTTTCATTAAATTCACTCAGTCAGCAGTTTCTACACTAAACAGTCCCTGAGGCCAAAAGACAAAAAAAAAAATCCGTAATCAACATACTACTTTCAAGTGTGGAGTACCGACCTATTTATAAAAGGAAATTAAGTAAAACCGGTAATTATAACTAGCGTACAACCTTTCAACATAGTCAATGAGAAATGCAATTTGCTTAAAATAATGAGATACTCTGGCAGGAACAATCTGTTCATATGCTGTTCCCAAGAGCCTCAGGATGGAAACGAAGCCCTGGCTGACATTTGATACTATCTGTCAGTTTATCAACTCTGTCTCAGGGTGAGTTTTACGATGGTGCTAGGAGGTTTGGGATGGAAAAAGGAAAAAGAAGAATCTCTGGGTAGATTTTTTCTATCCAGTTACAGGAAACCTGTTAGAAAATGGATTCCGATTTCTATTTTAAACGCTTGAACAAGTAAAATAATCAACCTCAGACCTTCCTTTCTGTGGGTTTCATTTAGCACCTTCCATTCCTTCATACTGTCAGCCAACCCAAAATGTTAAAGTCTCTGACACACTGCTTTGCTGGCTACTCACGACTTCCTTTGACTAAAAGTCATCTGCATTTGTCTTTCAGAGTTCATATCTTATAAGATAAGACAAATACACAAAAGGTGAATTAAAGAGTGTCAAAACCAACTAATATCTACTGATTTGGGGAGCCTTTCCCTTAGCTAGTTACAGACAACCTCCTCCTGATTTCATTCATTCATTTCCTCAGTCACTCAGCACATTTTATTGGCTACTGCTAAGTGCCAGCCACTCTGCTAGAGGTTGGGGGTAAAAGGGAAGAAAGCATGGGGGCGTTGCGGTGTCCTCAAAACCCCCAGATCCTAGCAGGGGAGTAGACCCATGAACAAGACATTTGGAAGCGTGGTGATAGGGATTTTGAAAATGTTTAGAAAGGATACCTACCTAACCCCACGTGAAGGGCCATAGGGAAAGTTTAGAAGAGAAGTGTCAAAGAAGAAATATAAGACAAAATATAAACCAAGTAGCAAAGGATGAGTTCAAGTTAACCAGGCTGAGAGAAAGGGCATTCCCAGTGGAGGGCTCAACATGAGCAAAAGCAAGCAAGCCAGATCCACAGCCAACAAGCAGAGTGCTATTGTTAGGAACTGAAGTGGTGAGCAAGGAGTGGAGAGACATGATGGTAGGAGGGTCAGCAGATACATCAGTTGGATTTTGCTGTATAACAAATCACCCCAAAACTTAGTGGCTTAAAATAACCATTTTATTTACTTATGATCCTATGAGTGATTTGGGGTATCTTTTTGGTCTGGGCCAGCTTGGCCAGAGATGGAAGATCTAGAACGGCTTTGCTCATGCATCCAAGGTCTCCAGTAGAATGACTTGAGTGACTTCACATGGTCTCTCATCCTCCAGAAAGTTCACCTTGGATTCTTCATATGAAGATGAAAAGTTCTCAGAGATCCATGAGTATGCAAACCCCAATGCCCAAGCATCTCTCAAGTCTTTTCTTGCTTTGTACTTCCAAATGTCCCATTAGCCATAGCAAGTCACCGGCCAAGTCCACACTTAATATGAGAGAAGACCTCAAGGGTGTGGGCACAGGGAGGTGTGATAATATCACAGGCCAGTATTCTAGTAATCTACCACAAAAGGGAAGACCATTGAGGGTCCTGAGTGATACGCTAAGGAAATAGGACACTATTTTAGGCTTTAAACCAGGAAGATTTGTATTTTAAATGGACCATCTAGGCAACCCTGATTTCAAATAAATCATTGATTCTGTAATGAAAGCTCTGGAGATGGACAGAGCTGGATTTGAATCTTGGCTCCACCACATTCCACACATGAGACTTTGAGCAAGTTCTTTGACCTCTGCAAGCCTCAGTTTTCCCATCTGTGAAGTGGATACAATAACACCAAATGCATACTCCATAGGGTTATAGTGAGCATTACATATGGGGAGGCACATAAAACACACATAGTATAAAGCTTGTGATGAGCACCCATGATGCATTAGCCATCATGACTTCATCGTGATCATTATTATGGATTTGCAGATGATGGGCTGGGAGCAGTTACGATCCAGATACAGGAGTACAAGTGAGAGATGATAAAGACCTGAAATGGGCAATAACCGTGGAGGCGGAGAAGAGGTGATAGGTTTGAGAAATATTTTGAGTTTAGCATTGGCAAAACAGGAAAACTGATTGTACGTGGAACTAAGAACAAAAGAGACACAAGAGAAATCGCCAGATTTTCTAGCTTAGGTGACTGGTGGACTATTTGCTTTCAACTGGTACAGTTAATGCAGGAGGAAACGCTCATTTAGAAAGAAAAAGTGATTATTTCTATGAGAGGTAAGTTTGAGATGCCTATAGGAATACAGGCTTATGGGCACCCATTGGACAGACACTGTGCATTTAGTTCGAGCTAACCTGTGCCCAGGCATGAGACTGCATAGTGCGAAACTCTGGCCATCCCATAAGAGGCCTCCATTAGAAGGGGCTAAGCTCAGAGAAGAGCCCAGAAGCAGAGAAAACTAAAATCAGCCAACCAGAGGAAAGAAGAACAGAATTTTGCTTCCTTTAGGAAGCAGCAGCAATTCAAGACTGATCCACACAAGGATATGTCAGAGTCCCAATCATTACAAGAATCAAAGGTCATCAGGTAGGAAGAAAACAGAACCAAGAATTTGCTCAAGAGCCATAGAACCATGACTAGGGGAGTGTTGGGTACTAAGTCAGTGCTTTTAGGAATTCTCTCAACCCTTAATTCTCAGGACTCTGGGGTCACTAGAAGAATTCATCTCTCCCCTTAGAAGAGGTCAGAAAATCTTCCAGGCAGAAGAGATTCCAAAGGGTGGGCTGGTTGGGTACTAAGTCAGTTCTTTCAGGAGTTCTCTCAACCCTTAGTTCTCAGGACTCTGGGGTCACTAGAAGAATTCATCTCTCTCCTTAGAAGAGGTCAGAAAGTCTTCCAGGCAGAAGAAATTCCAGAGGGTGGGCTGGTTGCTCATGCTAGGACATTTGAGGGACTGCCCCCAGGCAACATAAACGTAGCTGCAACCTCTGACTTTGACGTTAGCCCAGATAGAATAGTTTGTAGACACACTAGTGTACAGGGCAAAGGATCTTGAAATAATGACCAACTAGGTCATTAATTCTTAAACTGATACCACAGACCATCTTGCCATGAAAATGTATGTTACATAAAATTATTTGTACAATTTCAGGACATGCACAAGCCTCTTAAAGGTGATCCATGGAAAATCTAAAGGCCTGAAGACTCAAAGCTAAGAACTTGACATACAAAGGGAGTAGGAAGGAGTACCACAGTCACGGGTAATAGAATCCTCACCCTGTAAGGCTGTGCTGGGACCAGGTCAGGGCAAGGATATACAAAGTACACACAATGTAACCATGATGGTAGCCAGAATGACTCAGATTTGATAAGGACATACTGAAAGTGAGGTGGGAGGCAGGACTCGACTCCAGAGGTAGGGCTTAAACAGTGGACCAAATTGAAGACCTGCTGAAACAAGGATGGGGTGGAAGCAGCTTTCCATAAGACAGGACTACTGGTGTGCCATGTCGGTTTACTACTGCCACAGCAATACCTGGGGGTTACTGTTCCTTTCCATGGCAATGACCCAGGGACCCAGAAGTGACTACACTTTCCCTAGAAATACCTGCATAAACTGACCCTTAATCTGTTTGCAATTAAAAGTAGGTATAATGGTGAAACCCCCATCTCTACAAAAAATACAAAAATTAGCCAGGTATGATAGCATGCACCTGTAGTCCCAGCTACTCAGGAGGCTGAGGTAGGCAAATTGCTTGAGCCCAGGGGGTGGAGGTTGCAGTGAGGTGAGATGGCGCCACTGCACTCCAGCCTGGGTGACAGAGTGAGATTCCATCTTTAAAAAAAGAAAAGATGGTATACATATTACTGCAGAACAGCCCTGAGCTGTTATGCTCTGCCTATGGGGTCACTCTGATCTGCAGAAGCAGTCATGGAGCTGTAACACTACTGCTTCAATAAAGCTGTTTTCTTCTGCCCTGCCACTGGCTAGCTCACCCTTGAATTCTTTCCTGGGAGAAGCAAGAACCCTTGTGGGCTAAGCCCCAGTTTGGGACTCACCTGTCCTGTATCAAAAGTAGTTCAGAAAAATGATCATTACTGCTCCATTTTTGTGTAGTGGGTACTGAGATGAAGAGGGTTGAACTTGGTGAGAAAGCAAGACTTTTGGAATTTGAAAAAGGATTCTAACTTCTACCTGTAAAAAAAAAAAAAAATAGCATAGCAATACCACATTCAAGTCTTCATTATAATGTTCGCTTTGAAAAAGGATTTAAGAAAGTTAGTTTTTGCTTCCCTGGGTTTAGAACATGGTTGCAGAGCCATCCACCCACTCTCCACTTTGTCTCAGAATTGCACATGTGGCTTGGTGCCCTTTCAGAGAACACTGCTTGCGTGGGGCTTGGATCTGCTTTGCCATGGTGGGTGGGTAGCAATCTGTGCAGGAGGAGACCCAGTTGCTACTGCAAAAACCATAGGTGGCCTAGGAGTAGCAGACAATTCTGCATTACAGAGCATACAGGATCATAGAGGATGGAGTTTGTGGTCTTCTGGAAACACTGAACAACCTCCTGCTTTAAACAACTGGAAGTCTTCTGGGGTGAGCGCCTGCAGGGCACCTCTGGGCCCAGGCATTTGTCCTCTTGTCCTTCACCCATTTCTCAGAAAGAAGGAAAGCCGTGACCTCAGCTGTCCTTTCTTCCTCTTCTTGAGTATTTTCCACCTTTTTCTCTTTTCAAGTTGAAACACAGCTCTGAAATCTGTGGGAGTGGCATGGAATTTGGGGATGTGGGTTTTCACCCTTGCTGTGAATGGAGACAGATTCTTCCTGTACTAACTCCCACTTCTCCTCAGACTCTTCTTCCTGACATTTCTTCCTCCTCCACCCAGAAAGCTATGGTGGTTCCTCAAGGGTCACTCAAGAGACCAACTTCTCTCATCTGCCAACTACTACCAAAGCACCAGAGTGACACATGAGCCTTCCTTGTGACAGTCACCTGTGTGCTTACCCCCAGGACACCCTCTATTCAGATGGAAGTCTTGAAAATAAAACTCCATCCTCCCAACCTCAAGCCAAATATGAATTTTCTAAGTGTGTTCATCAGGGATAGAAAGAGATTTGTCTCCAGATACTTAAATTTTGGAAGGAGACAGATGACTCAACCAAAGAGGCCCAATGAGTTAGAGAATTCACTCGTGTAAATTAAGCATCTTGGAATCAGCCACATTAAACTGATTGATAGTACATTAGAAATGACATTATGAACAATGGCAATACTGTAAGCCTTGAGAATATAGATTATTTGTTTGCTTGTTTTTATGTCTCATATACCACAACTTTTCAGACAGTAAATTCAAGCAGCACATTTCAGTGTGCTGTGGACAGAGTCCTCAAAGTTTTGTGTTTCTTGAATAACAATGACAAGCCACACTTCCAAGTCATTTCTAGGCAAGCACAAATGTGGCATGAAAAAAAAATCAACTCTAATGACTAAGAGAACATTTTGAATAAATGACCTTTTGATATCACATAGTAATTATAATTAACTTTAAAGGACCGGCATCTGATACATAGTCCTGTAAAAAATCCTTATAGTTGATTCCAAGTTAATGGTAAGATTGGACACATGAACACAGTAAAGTACAGCAACTTTAACAAAATCACGTTTCAAGTGCCCTGATCCCTTGGCCTCTCCTGCCACTGCTCAAGGTTTTGCAATCTTTTTCAAGTGCTTTTTCTAATGACCCTAACACTTGACTATAGATAAAGCAACACATTTGTCCAGTTAAATATTTTCTCTTAAATATTCCCCAGTGCATCCCAAAACAAAATAGTATCTAGGATTAATTAATATTAATATTAATACATAAATATTACTTTTCAATAAGATGTAGGCATGAGCCCTTTAATGAATCGAGTCTAAGGACACTACCTCTTTGTGCAAAAGGCATATCATTTGTCAATTCAGTGTTTTCTAGTTAAAAAGGAACCCTTTGGTATCTGGGTTAAAAAGCATTTGAAATAATACTTTCTCCTATATTTATATGAAATGGTGTCCAGAGAGAGTTGGGGTCCTTCCTAAGGACATAGAGCGCTTAGAAAATATTTCATTTCAAATCTTATGTTTCATCAAAATATTTCAGATGAGATGCTGTGATGGCCAAAGATTGTGTTCTAGAAACTCAGGTAGACATGAATAAAGTATGAACATATTTATTACATGGGGACTCAGTTCCTCCTCAGAAAAGGCCCTTGATAGACGTCTGTCAGTCATCCTTCTTCTAGAGGGGCTTTGTTATTTTTCTTTTACCACAGTTCTTCAGGGAATTGGCAGTGAGTTCTGTACAAGGGCCATGATTTATGCTGGGCAGCCATATTAATCAGCATGGAAACAGAAGCCTGGCCACTGCAGAAGTCTCACATCCTGCAACGGAGCGTGGCAAAGTGACCTGGGTTTCTGAACTCATAGTGCATTGGTTAAGAGCCACCTGGCTGCGGTTACAGAGACACAATACATATGCATGTCGTTATGAAGCTACACATATCTGTGCAGGTTATTGTGTGCCTATTCAGAGAACACTATTTAGATTTGATAACTGAAACTAAAGAATTCAGACCTACTGAACAATTATGGGATTTCACCAACATTTGAAAAAAATCAAGGGCTGATTTTCTTTTTCTTTTTCTTTTTCTTTCTTTTTTTTTTTTTTTTTTTTTTTTTTTGAGACAGAGTCTCCCTCTGTAGCCAGGCTGGAGTGCGGGATCTCGGCTCACTGCAACCTCCGCCTCCCGGGTTAAAGCAATTCTCTGCCTCAGCCTCCCCGGTAGCTAGGATTACAGGCATGCACCACCACGCCTGGCTTATTTTTGTATTTTTAGTAGAGATGGGGTTCGCCATGTTGGCCAGGCTGGTCTCAAACTCCTGACCTCAGGTGATCCACCCTCCTCGGCCTCCCAAAATGCTGGGATTACAGACGTGAGCCATCATGCCCGGCCAGGGCTGATTTTCTAATTTTTTAATAATTCAGCATTTTGTTTCTCTTTCTTCCCTCATGCCCAATTTGGGGACTGATTTTTAAGCTTCCAGGTATATTGGTGAGTATTATTAATTAGTATAAATTGAAAGAATACTATAGAGAAGTCATTGAGAGCAATGACTTTCAATGAGACTTCAATTGAAATTTTGGCTCCACTTCTTATAAACTGTGACCAGAGCCTGTCACTTAATTTCCTTGACATTCAAGTTCCTTGCTTGTAAAATGAAGATTAAAAGAACTATATTCCTCCAGATTTACTGAGAAGACTAAATGAGGGGATGCATTAAAAGGAACCAGCAAAATGCTTGGCTCAGAATAGGTACTTGGTAAATATTAAAAATTTTCATATTTACTAGCAGTAGGCAAACTCATATTAAAAAGAATTTATTCTCTTCCTGAATTCCAGTTGATAGCATAAAATGTGCCCATCAAGACTGTAAAAGTACGGGGAGTTGACAGTCAGAGAAACATTAGCTTTGAAGCTGATGAGCCTACAAAGGAGATAATGGAAAAATACGCCTTAAAAGAGTGAAAAGGTTATCACTGTGCGCTTTGCTGCCAAACCACCTGCGACGTGTTTTTAATTTTTTTCTGTTGTCTTTATTGTTTCGTCTCTGCCCTTTTCTTTCTTTCTTTTTTTTTTTTTTTTGTTTTTTTGAGATGGAGTCTCGCTCTGTCACCCAGGCTGGAGTGCAGTGGCACGATCTCGGCTCACTGCAAGCTCCACCTCCTGGGTTCACGCCATTCTCCTGCCTCAGCCTCCCGAGTAGCTGGGACTACAGGAGCCCGCCACCACACCCGGCTAATTTGTTATGTTTTTAGTAGAGATGGGGTTTCACCCTGTTAGCCAGGGTGGTCTCGATCTCCTGACCTCCTGATCCACCCACCTCAGCCTCCCAAAGTGCTGGGATTACAGACGTGAGCCACCGAGCCCGGCCTCTGCCCCATTTCTTTATATGTCTTAATGCTGACCTTCTGCACAAATGCACCACTATACCATTACCAGTTATTACCAGCTAATAGGGTGGGAGCTAATGAACACTTACAACTCTGTCCTCAGGAAAGTGCAGAGAAATTCATGCATCCCAGGAGGGGATGCTCAGAAAGAGGAAGCTGGTTTATGATTGGACTGCGTGGGCGTTTGCAAAGCAAGGTTTCATTGAAAAGAGATGTTTTCTTGTGGGGCATTTGAGTCAATTACCAAAGTCTATTTTTAAAACTTCTCCATATGAGCCTGATCTATCTCTGAAGTTGTTTTGAAGACCACAGGACTGCTTGTAACATGTGCCATTGCCATTCTGCTTTTTATTCTTTTGATTGGAAGGACTAAAATGATTTTCACTTATAATGTCTTTTAAAGGATACAATTTGGATCAAAACAGAGACATGGAAGTTACCTGCATGGTGGTGATATTTGTAGCCATGGAAACAGAAGCCCAAAGTGGCAGAGGAAGCATAAAATCTGGGTGTAGAACTTTGGGAAAAGCTTTTATTCAGATGATGGATATGGGAAGAGGAGACAAACATAATAATCCAAAATATAGAGAAACTGATACATGTATTTAACATGTAAAGCAGGGAGTGGGGAGGACAAAAGTTGAGCAGAAGTTTTTCAGTTTGTTAAAGACACGGATCCTCCTTTTCCAAAGAATTTTATGTCAAGCTCAATACATAAATTAATGAGCAAACGAGTAGAACATACTATATGGCACCACTGTGAGCAATCTATTTATAGTTGCTCATTTAAATCTTATTCAACCCTGTGAAATAGGCACTATTTACTCCTCCCATTTTACAGATGAGCAAACTGAAGCACAGAGAGGTGCAGTCATCTGCCCATGCCACATAGCCAGCAGGGGTGGAACCATCATTTGCATCCAGAAAGTCCGACTCCAGGGTTAGCAAGGTCTGGGAAGACATCGTACAGCAGGAAGAACAGGCCTTCCACAGGCGAGAGCAACAGCCAGACCGGAAGAAAGCAGAACCATAGCTTTTCCATAGTTAAAGAGATCTGTCGGCTCCAGAAAGCTTGACCAATACCCTACCTCTTAGAACTCCCCTTCTTCATTCTCCAGGACTGAATGGGGTTTTAATTTCCCTGCAATAATCCTGAGAATAATTATCTCAGCCCCTCCATACTGCTTCAACCCTGATATCAAAAGCCCTAAGGGGGAATGGAGGGAAATACAAAGTCACTTAAAGTCATTGTTGCAGTGGCAGGGAGAACAGGGATGGGGACAGCAGCAAGAAGAGGTTAGAAGAAGATTTTAATGGTGTTGTAAACATTGTCGTGGATCTCTAGTGAGGGTTTCAGGATTTAATCTGGAGATCTAAAGAACTTTTGATAACTTAAACCTAGAACAGCACAAAACATGGTTAAGTGGAAAAGAGATGCCATCCCTATGACTTTGGGCCAGGAAAGCTCCTTCTGAAATGGGGCACATTTAAACGACAGTTGGTTTTTCTTCAAAACATCCTGTCTCTAACCTTTTAAATGGCTAATTGACTGCATTATAAATTTAAGGAATGGCCCATCTGTGTTCTATTCTGTCTTAAAACAAACAAAAAACAAACTTAGCTCCTATATTTGCATTCTCTCAATTGCAGTTTAGCATGAGCATTTGGGTTCATTCTTTTTTTTTTTTTTTAATTTTAAGTTCCGGGGTACATGTGCAGGATGTGCAGGTTTGTTACACAGTTCAACGTGTGCCATGGTAATTTGCTGCACCTATCAACAAATCACCCAGGTATTAAGCCCAGCATCCATTAGCTATTTTTCCTAATGTTCTCCCTCCCCAAACCCCACCCCTCAGCGGGCCCCAGTGTGTGTTATTCCCCTCCCTGTGTCCATGTGTTCTCATTGTTCAACTCCCACTTATAAGTGAGAACATGCTGTGTTTGGTTTTTTGTTCCAGTGTTAGTTTGCTGAGGATAATGGCTTCTAGTTCCATCCATGTCCCTGCAAAGGACATGATCTCATTCCTTTTTACGGCTGCATAGTATTCCATGGTGTATATGTACAACATTTTCTTTATCCAGTCTATCACTGATGGGCATTTGGGTTGATTCCATGTCTTTGCTATTGTGAATAGTGCTGCAGTGAACGTGCTTGTATCATTTTAATAGCGTTTCAGTTCTTTCTTCCTATGAGTGGCAGCTGTACCCACTGAGATAGGCTGTGTACCTGGGCCTTCTTTTAATTGCTCAGACCCTTGCTGACCTTTTGCAATTTTGCAAAATCTTTGAACCCTGGTTACAAGTCTGGGGTCCTGACATACCGGGGTTCACTCTTACTCATGTGTAGTCCCCCAAACCATCAAACTTTGTGCAAACGGTAGGAACTAGATCACTTTTAAATAGAATAGAACTGAATTGCCTGGAGTAGTAGCATGTTCTAGATAGCTAATGACAGCAGATTTTGTGATGTGACAATCCTTTATATTTACGCAAAGTCATTTTCATTTCACGGATACTCACTGAGTGTCAACTGTGTACCAAACTCAGACGTGGTGATCAGATGTTTTTTAATTAATAAATTTATTAAACTTTTGGCAGTAAGTCTCCCACTCCAAAGCTAGAGGGAGATATTTTTATATTATTATCTATTTTTTATCTACTTTTTAATTGATCAAGACTTGATGAGCATACATGCATTTCTAAAAAGTGAGCAGGTTTTTAGAAATGCATGTATGCTCACCATGTGCCACAGAACTTGAGAGCAACAGGAGCCGGTCTTCTGTTTTCAACAACTTGTCATGAATGAGCCACAAAATCGGTAAATCATGGGTGTATAATTCACATATACCTTTGTCTGTCTTTTCCTAACTGGCATTCGTTGAGGGATTTGGAGTTGTCTCTAAAACATGCGACTGTGCGTAGCAAGGCCCAGGGAAAGCACAAAGAGGGAAAGTACATTATGTTTAGAAACATTTTGGATTTCATTTGTAACTTTACCAAGTAGACATAAAGCTGTTCTTAGACCAGTATTTTCAGCAAATCACACTCAACCATAAATCTTCAATTTCATTTTCTATTATTTCTAACGAAAAGAAGAGTCAGATAAATGTGTGCATATTGAACACCTGGTAGAGCTTTAATAGTGTACTGCTCTGTCGGATAGAGAATTGGAAATTCAGTCACGTAGGGAGACTTAAATCTGTTTTAAAGCAATGTTAAGTGCACCGAGAAGGCCCAAAATAGCTCCATGCAGCTTCAAAATGAGAAAAATAGCCAAAAGGACAATGAACTGGAGGTAGAATTATTTTCCATATATTTCGCATTTCTAGGCAATGCATTCCCCATTCAAGCCACAGAATGAATGAACAGCTGAGGAAGCAGCCTGAGATGAAGGCTCAAATTGCTTTTACCTTGAGGCCACTGTCTTCTGCCTCTTGGGAAGCATTGCAATCTAAACTCTTCTTATTTTAGGAGAGTGGAGAGAAAAGGGGGCTAATTATCACAAAAGTAGACTTTATCACTAATCTCATCACCAGAACTGCACCACTAACTTAAACAAGAATTTGGAATATTTTACGTTAAAAAATTCATTCTCTCTCTTAATAAAATAAGGATAAGTGCCTTTTCTCTAATAGTCAGCTATTGAACCTGTAGGTCTCTAGTGTTATTACAGAAAGTAGTGAGATCTCTAAACAGAGACAGAGCAGGGAAGCAAAGTCTAGGATATTTACACATACACACACACACACACACACACACACTGTCCTTGAAAAGTAAACTTTAACTTATAAAATTAATACTATTCATAATATAAATGATAAAGGTTGGAATGCTTCAGATATATAACTAAAATGTTGGTTAGAGATTTACAAATAATAACCAGGCATGGTGGCTCATGCCTGGAATCCCAGCACTTTGGGAGGCCAAGGTTGGAGGATCACTTGAGGTCAGCAGTTCGAGACCAGCCTAGCCAACAACAACAAAACCCATTCTCTACTAATAATACAAAAAATTGCCAGGTATAGTGGTGGGTGCCTGTAGTCCCCACTACTAGGGAGGCTGAGGCACAAGAATCGCTTGAACCTGGGAGGTGGAGGTTGCAGTGAGCCATGATTTCACTACTGTGCTCCAACCTGGGCTACAGAGTGAAACTGTCTCAGACACAAACAAAAAAAGATTTACAAACAATAACTCATTCTTAGAACACAAATTAGCTTAAGATACGATAGATTTCGCATTGTTGCTGTGGTTCACTGGGAATTAATGAATCAAAGGTTCTAGTCAAAAAGAAGTTTGATATCCACAAAGGATTGACCAAAAGGATAAAACAAGTTGAAATCATCAGGTTCTATGGTTTTATCTCCTGGAGAAAGAGTAAAATGAATCTCTAAGTTTCCTCATGGTAGTAGTCGAAGTAATAATTCTCAGAATCATTGTATAGGCTATGGTGAGTAAGCCAAGAGACCAACATGAGTTTGTTGAAATAAACATGTTGCTCAACATGAGTACTTAGGAAAATAAAATGTATTGAATTTACTTAGCTGTTTTTCCTACAAGAAGCTATTCCCATAGATTTTGCTAGAATTACCTACCTGTTCTAGCCAGCATCTAATCAGTGAGCAGCCCAGAGTCTCAATCAGATAATGGGAAAAAGCAGTCAAATAAGCATGTCTTACTTCTTCATTATTAATACAAACATTTTGTCCAAGTTAATTATTTATGTGAATAACTTAATCCTTATATGAAAATTGAAATACTTTTGATGTCTGTTCTTTGAATATGTATATTCCATCTCACCATTTTATTTCTATCTTCTTAAAAATAGTTACAAATAAAAATGCATAACTCTGACCCAACAATCCCATTACTGGGTACATACCCAAAGGAACGTGAATCATTCTATTATAAAGATAGATGCACATTTATGTTCATCGCAGCACTATTCACAATAGCAAAGACATGGAATCAACCCAAATGCCCATCAACGATAGACTGGATAAAGAAAATGTGGTACATATACACCATGGAATACTATGCAGCCATTAAAAAGAATGAGATCATGTCCTTTGCAAGGACATGGATGAAGCTGGAAGGCGTTATCCTCAGCAAACTGATGCAGGAAAAGAAAACCAAACACCACATATTCTCACATATAAGTGGGAGCTGAACAATGAGAACACATGGACACAGGGAGGGGAACAACACACACTGAGGCTTGTCGGGGGGTGGGGTTCGGGGAGGGAGAGCATTAGGGAAAGGACCTAATGGATGCTGGGCTTAATACCTAGGTGATGGGTTGATATGTGCAGCAAAGCACCTTGGTACACGTTTACATATGTAACAAACCTGTACATCCTGCACGAGTACCCTGAAACTTAAAAATGTGAAGTAATAAAAACATAACTCCTACTATCCAATAAGGCTGTAGATTTTCCATACTGTCAAGAAAACCTCTGTCGTTATAGCTGAATACAAATACGATTACTCTTTTGGTTGACTTATTGGGCAAATCAGAGTGCGTGGTTGAACCTGTGGTTTACCACATAGTCAAACGTGAAATCAGCTTAGAGCATTGACTGGGCCTCGCCCTGGCCAATTTGATCCCATTGTATATGCATGCTTAAGCTGAGAAGAGTCCAGGAAATGAAGATCATGTGTGTTTGCGCAAATATTCTGTGAAACCCTGGGCAACAACAGAGGGTCACATCCATCCTGTGAGAAACAGCAAAGTCATATATGCCCAGTGCCAGGCATGCTTTTGGGAGGCTTCGTTTAATCAGTCCAAAAAACTTAGTTCAGAAAGCAAATACAATGAGTTATTTGGAACTGCGATAGGGCCTAGGAAATTGCTGGTCTGTAATCACGAGCCAAGAAGCATTTGCATCATGTGCCTGTAATGTATGATCTATGCTGAATGTTCTGCCAACATTTTCAGGGCGATAAGTCATTTTACAACCCTGAATGTGACTCAGAACGTTGGAAAGCACTGGTGTTTTGTTTTGTTCTGTGTTCCTCCCCATTCCTTTCTGTCCCAACCCTTCGGTCTCCATTAATCCAAGTAAATATGGCCTTGGTTTTCAGAGGTAAACAAAGGGGTAGAAGGATTCAGTGACTGCCTCCTGTAAGTCCTAACTGCAAGTTAGAAACACATTTAATGGAATATGTGCAGCATGAAGATATCTGTGTTTTACTCAAAAAAACGTGATTGAGGAGACTTGGCCAATTTCAGTCTTCCAGGAGACCTTAGAAGGATTTAGGCTGTAATGGAAAATTCACTGGACAGAGAATAAGAGACCTAAATCTTAATCGCAGTCCTGAAACTAAAGACAATTACATAAATTCCTTGAGAATTAACTTAAATTTAATTAATTAAATTAAAGTGGTGGGGCTGACTCATGGTTAGTCGAGGACTAGCTTTAAATTGAATATGGCTTACTAGTGATAAACTGAGGAGAGGCAGGCACCACTGCCACTCTCAAGGCCCTTAGCACATATTTTCACAAGTTACCAGTAGCTGTTATGGTCACAAAACTAGAAAATTAACTAGCATTGTATGGGATTCAAATCAGCAAACTTGGTTCTTTGTAACATGTTCTAACCAACTGAGATTTTTGCGAAACATATTATATTGGTCCCTTTATGAGTTGTACCTTAAAGTTCTCTGGAGTCACTAGAGTAAAATTAGAATATTAAAATAATAATTGTATAAAATTGGATGGGCCAACTACAAAAAAAAGCAATTTCTTAAAGGGTCTGGGAAAGTCTCCTTTCTCATTTATCTTGAAAAGTATGGTTTTCTAGAAAGATGTAACGACTCAAAGATGGCAGATTAGGACTTAGACTAGATATGTTAAGAACTAACTGTGTACCCTGTGTACCCTGGGGTAAGGTTACCCTCACCTCATTCTGAAGTTCTTTCTAGAACTTAACAATTCTATGGCTATTTTAATTAAAGAAAAAAACAAAGAAAAATATTGCTGAGACCTTTAAACATCATCGTGGTGTTATGTGCTCTCCATAAATATTCAAAAGCTATTTAATGCTAATAGCTGATCCTTGACCAAGAGCAATTTTGTTTCCTTACTCAGTTTATAACCTCAGTAATACTCCTAACACTGAAATATTCAACGAAGATTCCACATCAGCCAACCACTTGAAATGAATAATGTAACTGCTCTTTGGTGCACCTCATCATGTGGTTTTTGTTCAGGAATTTCATTTTTCACAGTGTTACATTTTATTTATGTAAAGAAAATGTTAAAAAAAAATAGGAAACAGCAGCAAAATGAGCTACCTGACAGCCTAACAAAACGCCTGCCATAGGAATTGTGACTCCCATTTGTAACTTGTAGGTTCAAACTACCAGTAGTTGAAATTACAGGTTTATTCTTTGATAGATCTCAAAGCCAAGTGTGTATAGAAACCCATTCTAAAAAAGCAGCAGGTGTTTTTCATTCATCCTGATTTCCCCCAAAACACAATGGTATCAAAAGAAAAATACTGTAAGAAAGGGATGGGAGGGGATTAGTTACTTTTTCTCTGTGAATTTTAGAACAAGGTCATTAGGTAAATATTCTTCTTCAAATGCAAGACTTCAGGAGAGAAATAGAAAATGTAAAATCCTTCAAAACTAGTGAGTGAATCATTTTCAATTAGATTCAGCGTTTGCCCAAGATCACTAAAAATGAGAATCCAGGCATTAAAGCAATACATGACTCTGTTTTGGGGGGATGTCTCCAAACAAAACTTCTAAGTATCAGGCTGGGCATGGTGGCTCAGGCCTGTAATCCCAGCACTTTGGGAGGCAGAGGCAGGAGAATCACTTGAACCCAGGAGGTGGGAGGTGGCAGGTGGATCACCTGAGGTCAGGAGTTTGAGACCAGCCTGACCAACATGGTAAAACTCTGTCTCTTCTAAAACTACAAAAATTAGCCAGGTGTAATGGTGGGCATCTGTAATCCCAGCTACTTTGGGAGGCTAAGGCAGGTGAATCACTTGAACCCAGGAGGTGGAGGTTGCAGTGAGCTGAAATAGCGCCATTGTACTCCAGCCTGGGCAAATGAGAGCAAAACTCTGTTAAAAACAAACAAACAAACAAACAAACAAACAAACCTTCTAAATATCAGTTGAATGAGGCCAATCGTGTGTTACAACCTTGGTTATATCATCCTGGAAAGCAATGGAATTACCCAGAAGATACTTGGTTTGGGGTTTCCAGCTTCAAGGAGCTGCTTGAATGAGAAGAGAGAAAGCGTTTTTGAACACCAGAAGTGTTTACCTGAAGACAACCAGATTAATACTGGCCTGGGGACTCAAAATCATTCATCCTTAGGACTGTCCATTCCTTTAGGCAAAATAACATCCTGGACTTAGTGCATCCCACAGGATCCTTAATTAGCTCCAAAGTCAAGATTAGATGCTGCAGATGTCTCTGTTGTTTCCTCTTAGAACTTGTGGGCTTGGATAGCTCTGGGAGCCAGATTATTTTATCATCTTTAATGGCTGTTCTTTAAGGAAAGATTTAAAACTCAATCCAGGTTGAATTAGAGGCGAGGGACAAAGATATGGATGAAATGAAAGCAAATGAGGCCTGACCTCACAGACAGCATTCCACTTGTGTCCTATAATCTATACATTTCCAGCTCTCCCAGGCTCTCCCCAGCCCAGCCACTGAGACCAAATAGATG
The DNA here is from genome assembly GCF_000001405.40 of Homo sapiens. Classification (NCBI taxonomy): domain Eukaryota; kingdom Metazoa; phylum Chordata; class Mammalia; order Primates; family Hominidae; genus Homo; species Homo sapiens. The sequence goes on from NC_000010.11 coordinate 10,608,737, forward strand.
ATGCTATTCAGGAGTCTAAGGAAAGCTTCTACTCCGCCACATATCTTTCTGTATTATCTGGAATTCCTCCGTCGAGAGTAGTGATTCTTAATTAGAACCACATATCTTAACTAGAACTACCTAGAACTAAAAGTACTTGTAAAAATATGGCATAGGGACCCCGTGAATCAGCAGGCTTAGTATTGGAAAGTATAAACGCTCCAGAAATGGGGGCAGGGCATGTGACTGTGATTTGTGGCCAGGATTGAGAACACTGGCCTCCGTGAGCCAGGATGAAAAGCAGCCTCCTTGCAAACGTAATCTTCTCTGGGAGAACCATTGCTCTTTCCTGCCTTGATTGTCATGTCAATCACATTATTTTATCATTTTAGTGTAGGCAGTCTTAGTGTTCGTCTAGTGTACTGTGTCATGCCTATATTCCAGGTGAGAGAACTAAGTTCAGAGAGAAAAATTATATGTTAGCCAAGGCCACATGTGTTTGCTGGCCAAGGCTAAAGGTACAATCCAGTCATTTTATTTCTGACTCAATAAACATTCTGCTTTGCTGCCACCAGCACTACCATCATCAATTTGCTTATTTGGCATCTGATAGCATGTACATTATGAAATAGCATCCCATCCAATAAGTCATAGTGAGGCCGGAATAAGAGAATTGTGTGCAACATAGAAAATGGTTAATAAATGTTTCTTTCGTCAAGATTTCCCGAATACCACCGCGCGTGCACACACACACATCTCCTTAGGAGCTGCACAGCAAAAGGTTTTGAACAGCTGATGAGAATGTCATGGATGGAAGCAAATGTGAAGGATAAGAGGGAGGGGAGGTGCTGAGAATAAGAAGTGCAGGGGTGGAAAAGTCAAGGCAAACTTTGCTGGGGCCAACTCTGTTCCTCCTAATAGAATCAATAGATTCTTCTTACAGAGGAACAGATAATTGGCTTCCTAAGTCTCTTTAAGGAACAGATGGGATGTAGGAGTTGAGAACTCTATTTGGGGATTGCTGTAATCACATTAGATGCTATGGTTTTAGCCAACTCACCCAACTGGCTTGTGACTCAGTTCTCTCCATCTGCTAACGTGCTAAAACAATGGGCTGTGCCATCGTCTGCATCTACTTGCCTCACAGATATGCTTGGAAGAGCAATATACAAACCCTCAAAGATGTTTTGCGTTGATTCAGAACTGCTCAAGGTACAAGAAATTCACTAATCACTGTGGTTAAGGAGAAATTAATTTTAACTTTCGTATTCAATGAATTTCTGAGGCCCATTCTAAATGTAAACATTATTTTCAAAAGGAAAATTGATCTGGAACCTATTTATGTGGATCAATATATTTTGCTATGCACCATATATCAATTAAGATAATTAGTTCAGGCTGCAATACCCTTTGATATTTTGATCAAAAGTAACAGACAGTAACACATTGAGCCTTGCTTTTCTTCAGTCAGTTAAATAAGATCTATCAAAATGAATATGCTACCAGCTTGATTGAATGTGCTACAACCTCCAGCATTACTAATTAGAGCTGTATCCTTAAGATATTCATGGTATGAAGAATTAAAATCTTCTTCCTACACAGAGTGCCATCTTCACACGCTCTCTCCCTCACTACTTCCTTAAAATGATGCCAACTCAAAAAACAAAATTTTTCATTCTGAATTTTAGAACATGTGTGAATATCATTTTATTCCATGAGTTGCTTTAGAAAGTTTATGTAAGTTATAATTTGAGGTTGGTATTTTTTTAGAAGTGACATGTTTGATGGTTCATTTAAAATGATTATTGCTCCAAGTTGTTTTTGCTAATGTGAGAGAACTTTAAAATCTTACATTTATCTTTAGACAGACTTAGAAACTCTTTGAGATTGGAAGTCAGAAGTTTAAAGAAAGCGGGTTTTCTTTAATTCAACTGCAGTTAACTCACAGGAAACTGTCCTTCCATGCTAATAAATGCTTTTGTCTCTGTGATGCCCAAAAAGTCAACAATGGATTCAGCACAGTCAATAAAAATAGTCAAACTTGTTATTGACTAGGTATAAAGCAAACAACTTAATTGGCTCATTGTCTCATTTTTAGACCAGTTATAGTGATTAGGGGGAGAAAATGACAGAATTCTGAGTGGAGAAAAGAAAGATAAATCTGATGACAGTCAAAATGCATACTTTGCAAATCATTATTGTCCAAATAAAGAAAGATGGAAGTAAAATGACCCCATGTGGCCTGAGGATTACACTACTTTCTGTCTTTTAGGATTGGAAAATGGGGATGAGGCTAATGAGTTTGGACGAGGTGCTCTGTATGTTTTACTATGACCCAACTATGATGTGAGTTGGAAAGGACAGATTGGAGAGCAACCCTGTAGTGGGCCATGTCACATGTATTCCTCTGTATCCCCTGAGTTATTGTGTGGGTGGGAAAGAACTGTGGCCTCATGCAGATGCGGCCAGAACCAAGCTGGCAACTGACTATATGGAGTGACTTGGAGAGGAGTTCTGTAGCAGGTAAGCTCCTCTAAGAGCCAACCTATCATGGGTCATAAAGAGCCATTGAGAACCAACACAGCAAGCACTGGGCTTACCCTAACTTCCTTCCTTATCTTACTTTACGAAAATTTTGTATACCTCTTCATCCTTATATTTGACTTTTTCATTTTTAAGCTGCAAACCTGCCACCCCAGATAAATTTACCTTGGCAAAGCACTTGAAAATGTGGCCTCCTTTTTGCATTAGTAATGCCTTTTAGAACCCGTAAGTCACCAACATGGGAAATGACTACACAGTCGTAATATGCCATATTTGTAACAAAACGTAACTGAGATCATTTCAAATTACTGCTAACAACCCTACAAATCCAACATGATTGAAAACACCCTTCCCCAAAAAGTCAATGTCATCTCTGTCCTTGTCTAACTTGATTTCCTGGTTTAGCTAGAGATTAATGACAGGGAGGCAGAGACATATGAGGCCTGTTAATTATGTACATACACTCAAATACTCACACACACCTCTCTCTATATGGATAGGCAGACAGATAGATACAGGTATAGATATTGATGTATAAAATCTCCTTTTATCTTTTTATTTTACAATGTGCTCAGGTAAGCTATTTGTCAAAACGCAAAAGAGGCAAGAACTTAGCAGGGTCCTTTATTACTAGGGAGAGGGAGGAGGCAGTGATTCATATTGATCCATACCATTGTCTAAACATTTAACAAGACTCCAAGGAGATCCATGATTTCAGCCTAATATGTAGTTAAATTTAGGAGAAAGAGGATCACCCTCTCTACTGGTTATGGTATTATGTGGCTCACACAATCATTTGGCAAAAGGAAAATTTCCCTTCAAGTCTACTTATTGAAGTATTTGGTAGACCTACCCATAGAAGTATGACAGTGGCTTTTATCCCCACAATGGTCAGTATTATTTCCACTGGGTGGGGGAACTATGAAAAAAATCTCATTGAGGAAAAAAAGAAAAGCCAGTTTGCTTTATGGGAAAACCAGATCCAGTCGTACATTCCATCTTTTGGTTTTGGTCAATTTCCCCAGGCACCGGTGAAATTATAAGCTTCACTATAGATTGTGTGAAAAGGAAGAGGCATGAAGTATAAAAATGGAAAAACCACACACACAAATAAATCTCAGATCTGTTACTCATTAACTGTGAGCTTAAGCATCCCGTCACCAAATAATTGTTAAGAATTTTGTGTGTCAAGAATTCTGCTAGATACAGAAACATACAGGCCAGAGGGAGAAAATGAACCATTCTGATTAGCAGAGACACATTCTGTATGGAGGGAATAATATGTGCAAAGATATAGATGTTCTGCAGCAGAAGATGCTACAGGGAGGTAGAAGGAAGTTGAGTCATGACAGTAAGCCTCTCAATTTCTCCAGGTCTCCATCACATCTTCAAAGTAATGGGTTTGTATTGGATGCCTTTCTTTCTGCTAATCCTGTGATACCCTTTGCTGTATTCCTTCGGGAGCTCCTGTGCTCCCATTTGGAGCCACCACATCTGACCAGTTTGCATGTCCCTTCAGAGCCAGATTCTTGTATCAGGCCCATGTAATTTAAGATGACTGGTCACTTCATCCTGATGAGAAGCCTAGTTTTCTCCAAATTAAAGCATTCCATATAGTAAGAAAGATCTTACTTGGTGTCTGAATTGTAAGAATAGAGTCTTAGCTGGACATTTCAACCCACGGTTAGATGAGTGCAATTGTTTTATTCATCCAGTTAGCATGAAGTGCCAGATTTTAAAATGAGAAAATAAAACTAGCATCAGAGGAAGTCAAGCAGCCTAAAGAAACGCTCAACAGACACCCATTCAAGGTGTAAGCATTGGAAATCAAACTTTAATGGCTTCGAAACTCTTAGCTCAGTAACTTTTAAAAGTAGAGGGTTTTTTTTTCCTAGTATTTTCTTTGCCACAAATCATGAAATAAATGTCAAGTGGAATTACAAAGGGAGTTTTTTCTGTTCGTCCTCAAAGTAAGTGTAAGCCATGTGGGGGATCGGAATATTATTGTTGCTTGACAACATTATGCCCAGAAAATACCAAAAAGCAGAGAGAGTTTAAAATGGGTATTTACATATAATATCCATGCATGTTTACATTTAATATCATACTGGATTTAATTTTATTACTTTCCGGAAGGCAATTGGGAGAAAAATAAACACAGTGGAATGTTATCTCATTGGCATGCGGAATCAATGTGGTGATCGTATGGCTGATATAAACTCATAAGAGAATGCTTCTGACATTTCATCGGGGCTTCTTAATTTAGTATTTACAATGTCTGTGTGAAATGATATAGTAGTTTTATTGTTTAATTACAGAGATGGCAGAATGTAACAGATTCCTGACTTTTCCCCCTTCGTTACAATTAACTTCCTCTCAAATTGTTGAATGCAAACATGTATCAGTTGGTCCCCTGTTAGGGCTGCCATGGCTTGTATTTGAAATAACTTCTAATCCTTCCTGAAAATGCTTTAAAAGAAAAAGCTTTTCCTCTCCAATATGTGGACTTTTATTATGAGCAATAATGTAACACAGGGGTATGATTATGGCGAGATAATCACAGTGCAAAATAGAAACGATTCTTTGGAGTACCATAACCTCCCCAAAATTATTATTCATCTTACTGATGTCCCTTGGATTTATTGCTCCTTCCTGGAAGGTGATAAGCATTTTGGAAACAAGGGCTGGATTTTTTTTATTGCCCTCAATGTCTATAATTTTTAAATGGCATTATTTGGACTAGCAAGTGTAGAATAAAGAGGTTGAGTCAGAATGAGGAAATAAACAAATGCTTTGGCCCTCTCCCCAGCTAGTGGAGAATTCATGAGAGTGGGCAGTAACCCAAGTAATGTTTGTGCAAAGGAGACTGGGCTTGTGTTTCTCGAATAATTTGGATTCTAGGATCTAGATTAGCCAATCTAGAAGGTTGATTAGGTTGACCAGATGTCTCCTTCCTCCCCCATTTTCCCTTTGGTAATTTTAGCCATTTTTATTACGCTCTTACATTGAACACCAATTAGATGACTGCTAGCATTCCCGCTCTACCAGAGTGGTAGAAGACTGTCTCCTTCTCTCCACTCCTACCTCATTTTCCTCCAAATAAGCAATTCTCCCAATCCCTATAAGGCAGCCTCTCACCCAGCAGCCACATCCGGAAGGCAGTTCTCCATAGGAGTTGTTTTTCTGACTTTAAAGGAAGATTTATCTTACGGCAAATGGCTCCATTTAAACAAAACAAAACTAAACTAAAGTTGTAAAATTCCACTGTCTTCAGACCTGATCGTGAGTGATTCACATTCCCTACCACTCCACAGAGGCTGCCACCAGGAACTCGGCAAGAGAGAATTGATGGAGTTGCTTATTCGCAAATAAAAATGAACAAGGTGCTAGGCCTGTTGACAGGGAGAGAGATGGGCCCAGCCTTATCTTCATGTCACTGTCCTTGCCAGTTGTTATCACACTATTAAGATAAAGCAGGTTATCCAGGTTTACAAGCCACCGATTGGAGGTTGGATAGTGAATTCAGGACTTTTTTCTCTGCAATTACTGTCCAGAGCCCAGGCGAAGGTGAGATGGTAAATGAAGAATCTGTTCTTCAGGAAACAGACACAGGAAAGAGCAAAGCACGTAGGTCCCAAGACACAACTTGTCTACACATAACTCTTTTTCGGTGGTGGGAAGCAATCAGGTCATGGGAATCGACGAAGAGGCAAGCTCTGAAGAGCATGATGGTATCCATGGGCTTAGTTTAGTAAAGGTACAGTTTGGTCGGTCTGGCTCCCATCTTCCAGTTCCTGGGAGCCGTCTTCCCATCAACCAAGGAGGCCTGTTAAATTCTAGTCCCTGATACATAACTGAGCAACCTACTCACTGTTGTCTAATTTATAAAGCCATGAAGTAAGGCACAAATACTGTATCAAACTAGGGGGGAAGTAAGACATGTATGAAAGTCCTGTTCATCTTCATTGTTTGTGGGTCCCGTATTTGCCAATTCACCTACTGTTTAAAATTTGTCACTGCAAAATCAATACTTGCAGCCCATTGTGATCATTTACAGACATGCACAAAGCAGCAAAAAATTTGGGTTGTCAGATGGATGCATCCCCGCTGAGGTCCAGGAGGCCACACTCTGCCTTCCTGTTCCAGCTGTCAGGCTGTGAGCAAGTATCCTCTTCGCAGATTATTTAGTGCCATGTTTTCCACATTTCTGCGCTTTGTGGTAGTGATGTTGCTGTTTAAAATGGTCCCTAAGTGTCATGTTGATATGGTTTGAATTTGTGTCCCTGCCCAAATCTCATGTCACATTGTAATTCCCAGTGTTGGAGGAGGGACCTGGTGAGAGGTGATTGGACCACGGGGGCAGATTTCCCCTTTGCTGTTCTCATGATAGTGAATGAATTCTCACAAGATCTGGTTGTTTAAAAGTGTGACACCTCCCCACTCTCTCTTCCTCCTGCTCCCACCATGTAAGATGTGCTTGCTTCCCCTTCACCTTCCACCATGATTGTAAGTTTCCTGAGGCCTCCCCAGAAGCCTGTACAGCCAGGCAGAACCATAAGCCCAATTAAACCTCTTTTCTTTAAAAATTACCCAGTCCGAAGTATGTATTTATAGCAGTGCAAGAATGAACTAATATAACTGGTGAAGGAAGTCTAATGTTCCTAAGAACAAGAAAGCTATGATATACATTATCAAGAAAGCCTGTGTATTATATAAACCTCTTGCAAGCATGTGTTAGGATGCTCTTGGCTGGAGTTCAGTGTTAATAAATCAACATTATATGTTTAATGAAGTGTATCTA